>NC_000006.12:94869851-95020790 GCF_000001405.40 Homo sapiens
TTGAATCTATAAATTACCTTGGGCAGTATGGCCATTTTCACGATATTGATTCTTCCTACCCATGAGCATAGAATGTTCCTCCATTTGTTTGTATCCTCTTTTATTTCCTTGAGCAGTGGTTTGTAGTTCTCTTTGAAGAGGTCCTTCACATCCCTTTTAAGTTGGATTCCCATATATTTTATTCTCTTTGAAGCAATTGTGAATGGCAGTTCACTCATGATTTGGCTCTCTGTTTGTCTGTTATTGGTGTATAAGAATGCTTGTGATTTTTGTACATTGATTTTTTATCCTGAGACTTTGCTGAAGTTGCTTATCAGCTTACGGAGATTTTGGGCTGAGACAATGGGGTTTTCTAGATATACAATCATGTCATCTGCAAACAGGGACAATTTGACTTCCTCTTTTCCTAATTGAATACCCTTTATTTCCTTCTCCTACCTAATTGCCCTGGCCAGAACTTCCAACACTATATTGAATAGGAGTGGTGAGAGAGGGCATCCCTTTCTTGTGCCAGTTTTCAAAGGGAATGCTTCCAGTTTTTGCCCACTCAGTATGATATTGGCTGTGGGTTTGTCATAGATAGCTCTTGTTATTTTGAGATACGTCCCATCAATACCTAATTTATTGAGAGTTTTTAGCATGAAGGTTGTTGAATTTTGTCAAAGGCCTTTTCTGCATCTATTGAGATAATCGTGGTTTTTGTCGTTGGTTCTGTTTATATGCTGGATTACATTTATTGATTTGCGAATGTTGAACCAGCCTTGCATCCCAGGGATGAAGCCCACTTGATCATGGTGGATAAGCTTTTTGATGTGCAGCTGGACTCAGTTTGCCAGTATTTTATTGAGGATTTTTGCCTCAATGTTCATCAGGGATATTGGTCTAAAATTCTCTTTTTTGGTTTTGTCTCTGCCCGGCTTTGGTATCAGGATGATGCTGGCCTCATAAAATGAGTTAGGGAGGATTCCTTCTTTTTCTATTGATTGGAATAGTTGCAGAAGGAATAGTACCAGTTCCTCCTTGTACCTCTGGTAGAATTCGGCTGTGAATCCATCTGGTCCTGGACTTTTTTTGGTTGGTAAGCTATTGATTATTGCCTCAATTTCAAAGCCTGTTATTGGTCTATTCAGAGATTCAACTTCTTCCTGGCTTAGTCTTGGAAGGATGTATGTGTCCAGGAATTTATCCATTTCTTCTAGATTTTCTAGTTTATTTGCATAGAGGTGTTTGTAGTATTCTCTGATGGTAGTTTGTATTTCTGTGGGATCAGTGGTGATATCCCCTTTATCATTTTTTATTGTGTCTATTTGATTCTTCTCTCTTTTCTTCTTTATTAGTCTTGCTAGCAGTCTATCAATTTTGTTGATCTTTTCAAAAAACCAGCTCCTGGATTCATTAATTTTTTGAAGGTTTTTTTGTGTCTCTATTTCCTTCAGTTCTGCTCTGATTTTAGTTATTTCTTGCCTTCTGCTAGCTTTTGAATGTGTTTGCTCTTGCTTTTCTAGTTCTTTTAATTGTGATGTTAGGGTGTCAATTTTGGATCTTTCCTGCTTTCCCTTGTGGGCATTTAGTGCTATAAATTTCCCTCTGCACACTGCTTTGAATGTGTCCCAGAGACTCTGGTATGTTGTGTCTTTGTTCTCGTTGGTTTCAAAGAACATCTTTATTTCTGCCTTCATTTCGTTATGTACCCAGTGGTCATTCAGGAGCAGGTTGTTCAGTTTCCATGTAGTTGATCGGTTTTGGATGAGATTCTTAATCCTGAGTTCTAGTTTGATTGCACTGTGGTCTGAGAGACAGTTTGTTATAATTTCTGTTCTTTTACATTTGCTGTGGAGTGCTTTACTTCCAACTATGTGGTCAATTTTGGAATAGGTGTCATGTGGTGCTGAAAAGAATGTATATTCTGTGGATTTGGGGTGGAGAGTTCTGTAGATGTCTATTAGGTCTGCTTGGTGCAGAGCTGAGTTCAATTCCTGGGTATCCTTGTTAACTTTCTGTCTCATTGATCTGTCTAATGTTGACAGTGGGGTGTTAAAGTCTCCCATTATTATTGTGTGGGAGTCTAAGTCTCTTTGTAGGTCACTAAGGACTTGCTTTATGAATCTGGGTGCTCCTGTATTGGGTGCATATATATTTAGGACAGTTAGCTCTTCTTGTTGAATTGATCCATTTACTATTATGTAATGACCTTCTTTGTCTCTTTTGATCTTTGTTGGTTTAAAGTCTGTTTCATCAGAGACTAGGATTGCAACCCCTGCCTTTTTTTGTTTTCCATTTGCTTGGTAGATCTTCCTCCATCCCTTTATTTTGAGCCTATGTGTGTCTCTGCATGTGAGATGGGTTTCCTGAATACAGCACACTGATGGGTCTTGACTCTTTATCCAATTTGCCAGTCTGTGTCTTTTAATTGCAGCATTTAGCCCATTTACATTTAAAGGTAATATTGTTATGTGTGAATTTGATCCTGTCATTATGATGTTAGCTAGTTATTTTTCTCGTTAGTTGATGCAGTTTCTTCCTAGTCTTGATGGTCTACATTTTGGCATGATTTTGCAGTGGCTGGTACTGGTCGTTCCTTTCTATGTTTAGTGCTTCCTTCAGGAGCCCTTTTAGGGGAGGCCTGGTGGTGACAAAATCTCTCAGCATTTGCTTGTCTGTAAAGCATTTTATTTCTCCTTCACTTATGAAGCTTAGTTTGGCTGGATATGAAATTCTGGGTTGTAAATTCTTTTCTTTAAGAATGTTGAATGTTGGCCCCCACTCTCTTCTGGCTTGCAGAGTTTCTGCTGAGAGATCCGCTGTTAGTCTGATTGACTTCCCTTTGTGGGTAACCCGACCTTTCTCTCTGGCTGCCCTTAACATTTTTTCCTTCATTTCAACTTTGGTGAATCTGACAATTATGTGTCTTGGAGTTGCTCTTCTCGAGGAGTATCTTTGTGGCATTCTCTGTATATCCTGAATCTGAATGTTAGCCTGCCTTGCTAGATTGGGGAAGTTCTCCTGGATAATATCCTGCAGAGTGTTTTCCAACTTGGTTCCATTCTCCCTGTCACTTTCAGGTACACCAATGAGACGTAGATTTGGTCTTTTCACATAGTCCCATATTTCTTGGAGGCTTTGTTCATTCCTTTTTATTCTTTTTTCTCTAAACTTTCCTTCTTGCTTCATTTTATTCATTTCGTCTTCCATCACTGATACCCTTTCTTCCAGTTGATCACATCAGCTCCTGAGGCTTCTGCATTCTTCACGTAGTTCTGGAGCCTTGGCTTTCGGCTCCGTCAGCTCCTTTAAGGACTTCTCTGCATTGGTTATTCTAGTTATCCATTTGTCTAATTTTTTTTCAAGGTTTCTAACTTCTTTGCCATTGGTTTGAATTTCCTCCTATAGCTCGGAGTTGTTTGATCTTCTGAAGCCTTCTTCTCTCAACTCGTCAAAGTCATTCTCCATCCAGCTTTGTTCCGTTGCTGGTGAGGAGCTGTGTTCCTTCGGAGGAGGAGAGGTGATCTGCTTTTTATAGTTTCTAGTTTTTCTGCTCTGTTTTTTCCCCATCTTTGTGGTTTTACCTACTTTTGGTTTTTGATTATGGTGATGTACAGATGGGTTTTGGTGTGGATGTCCTTTCTGTTTGTTAGTTTTCCTTCTAACAGACAGGACCCTCAGCTGCAGGTCTGTTGGAGTTTGCTAGAGGTCCACTCCAGACGCTTTTTGCCTGGGTGTCAGCAGCAGTGACTGCAGAACAGTGGTGGCTGTAGAATCTCGGATTTTGGTGACCCACAAGTGCTGCTGCCTGATAGTTCCTCTGGAAGTTTTGTCTCAGAGGAGTACCCGGCCGTGTGAGTTGTCATTCTGCCCCTACTGGGGGGTGCCTCCCAGTTAGGCTGCTCGGGGGTCAGGGACCCACTTGAGGAGGCAGTCTGCCCATTCTCAGATCTCCAGCTGCATGCTGGGAGAACCACTACTCGCTTTAAAGCTGTCAGGCAGGGACATTTAAGTCTGCAGAGGTTACTGCTGTCTTTTTGTTTGTCTGTGCCCTGCCCCCAGAGGTGGAGCCTATAGAGGCAGGCAGGCCTCCTTGAGCTGTGGTGGGCTCCACCCAGTTCTAGCTTCCCAGCTGCTTTGTTTACCTAATCAAGCCTGGGCAATGGCAGGCGCCCTTCCCCCAGCCTGGCTGCTGCCTTGCAGTTTGATCTCAGACTGCTGTGCTAGCAATCAGTGAGACTCCGTAGGGGTAGGACCCTCCGAGCCATGTGTGGAATATAATCACCTGGTGTGCCGTTTTTTAAGCACCTTGGAAAAGCGCCCTATTATGGTGGGAGTGACCTGATTTTCCAGGTGTCTGTCACCCCTTTCTTTGACTAGGAAAGGGAACTCCCTGAACCCTTGCACTTCCCAAGTGAGGCAATGCCTCACCCTGCTTTGGCTGGCGCAAGGTACACTGCACCCACTGTCCTGCACCCACTGTCTGGCACTCCCTAGTGAGATGAACCCGGTACCTCAGATGGAAATGCAGAAATCACCCATCTTCTGTGTCGCTCATGCTGGGAGCTGTAGACAGGAGCTGTTCCTATTCAGCCATCTTGGCTCCACCCAAGTCTTTTTTTAAAGGCATTGCATCTCTAAAATCTAAACTATACTTCACTCATAGGTTGATACAAAAAATTTATGTGTAAAGTGTAAGTCTTCGTTCACTTAAAAAAAACATGTTAATAAAAATGTCCCTGACTTCACCTACATAATTAATAATATACGATATTAGCCCTTAGTAGATATGATGGTTTGGTTTTGAAAACACATTTCTCCCAGAATCAGCTCAACACTTCTTGATCATCAACAATGTTCTTGACCATGTATGAAATGATATGTGAACACAGGCTTTTTTTCTTCAGAATAATCATGCTCCAATTTTGCCTAATGGTTCTCATCATATTACTCAAAGCTACTGAACCACTTTCTTCATCTAAACTACCTAATGCATTAGTAAGATAGCAAGAAAATGAGCTGAGCATGCAGCGAATAATGAACTTGGACCTAAAGATGGAATAAATATTTTAGCATATAAGCATATTGCTGTAAAGCCTTTGATTAAGAGATAATTCTTAATAAATGTCCCAGGTCCCCAAATGTCATAAACAGCATCTATACATGTTGGTATCCACATTTTTACATCCCTTTATTCTTAAATCATTCATCTATAGATTCCTTCAACATTATTTTTTTGAAACCCTGTATTACCAAATTAAAAATTACTCCCTGGTCCTCGTTTCAATATAGTCTGTACAATTATGTTTACTCTGGGGATTGTGACAATAGTATTTACTTCCTACCTACTAAAACACCCTCCTTTATGATTCTGTGATAACTCATAATATTGCAGCCACTCACATTTAGGCTCCTCAGCAGGCTCCTTTTTCCTTTGCACTTCTTTAAATGATGAAGTGCCCCAGTTTGGGTTCTTCACCCTTTAATCACTTCATGCACACTCTTTTTGTGATCTTGTTCCCACTTAAGGCTTTCCTGTTCACCTGCATGATTATGACTATTGCAAACTTCCCCATGAACCCAGATCCACAGATCCAGCTGTAGACCATGTATTGTTGTCCAGCCACCCAGCTGCCCAGAGGCATCCTAAGCCCAATATGCCCACATCAGAGCTCATTAATCTTTGAATTGCTGCAACAAACTCCCTGCCAAAATCAATATCTCATAAGGAATAAATAATTTGATGTTTTTGAGTTCTCTGTTGTATTATAAGCCAAATGTAGGAAAAATATATTTTAAAAAGTTTATTTTAGCATGTGTCAATATTTTCTTTTTTTTAAATTTTACTATTATTACACTTTAAGTTTTAGGGTACATGTGCACAATGTGCAGGTTTGTTACATATGTATACATGGGCCATGTTGGTGTGCTACAGCCATTACCTCGTCATTTAACATTAGGTATATCTCCTAATGCTATCCCTCCCCACTCCCCCGACAACAGTCCCCGGAGTGTGATGTGTCAATATTTTCTTATTCTTTTTCTGTGTCCCCTGACTTTCCTCCAGGCCATATGTGGCTCCCTAGTGGTGTAAATTTCGTATTAAAGTACATGTATGTATATGTGTATGTATTCATCTAGATTGCCAAATCATCCTGAGATTTTGTGACAGCATGTCACTGAGAAAAAATATTAAATTCTCATACACTATGTTCCAAGTGGGCTCAGATATTGATGAGAGATGACCAGTAGGCTTCTAAGCTCAAGAGAGACCCAACTGGTATAGTATTGCCTTTACCTACAGGAGACAGTAGGGTAGAGAAGGTGACAGTTTTGAGAACATTCTAGGTAAGGGCTGTTTTCTCTTGGAAAGCTTGATGTGGACATCAGTGTCTTACCTGGAGGGAATATACTTTTATACAGTATAAACCTGGTCCCTGGTCCTGCTCTGGAGATTTCTAAAGCCAGCAAGTATACAGAAATATCCCATATGATTTAGGGCGTAAATGGATCAAAGTTCAGTGTGATTAGGAGTGAGAAGGTATAATTTCCCCCTTCCCAGTTCACTCTTAGAGGTTGGAAATAGGCCTAGACATTCTCCTTGCCTTTATGTTGTGTAGCATGACAGTTAGGGGAACGGTTGGTGTCACAGTTGAGCTAAGGAAGCATGTCAGTCAAACAATCTCATTGACAACTCCCATGAGATACTAAGGGAACTAAGAGGACATAGTTGAGCCTTGTAAGGCCCCCCAACACAAACGAAATTTGCTGAAGCTCAGAATGCCCATGAGAAATACCAATACTTCCATTCTAAGTTACTCTATGCCCTCATCAACGTACTTATTCTATGCTTGTAGAATGCTTTAGATAAACTGATTAGCTAATAAATATTTCAAAATAAAGCATATAAACAGAATTTCCACCAATAAAAATTTTTATTATATAAGGAATACAGGAATTTAAGATGCTGTGACTGGAGATAGGAAATTAAACTGATTCTTTTATTTAGCATTGATTTTGTGGCAAGCAATACACTCAGCATCTTACATGTAATAAATTGTTTAACTCTATAAAATAAATATTACTATTGCAATTTATTAGATGAGAAAGTGATTCTCAGATTGCTGAACTAATTTGTCCAAGATCTCACAAAAACTTATTGGCCAGAAACAAACCTATGTGTGTCTTTCTAAGCAATTGAAATGCTTTTGTCATGATATGCTTCAGCAAGAAGAACATTTTCATCACAGGACCTTTTTATGCATCACATTGTGGGTTTTCTTATCCACCAATTTAGAAAATTGCCATTACTTTTAAGACCTATTCTCATGACATCTTAGTATTCCTGGATTAGAAATGCATATATTTTAAGGATTTTTATATTTTGATTATGTGCTATTTTAACAAGTTTTTAAATATATACATTCTCAATATATGTGCCTCTACTTATTTATAAGTTATATGTAATAATAATTTAACACTAGCTAAACAAGCCATATAATGTTGTATTTACTTTATAAGTTAATACTTTATAAGTATTAACTCATTTAATCATTGCATTATCCATGAAGCAATTACAGGTACTATTACCATTCTTACTTTAAAAATAAGGCACAGAAAAGTAACTTTGCCAAACTGCCTTACTTAGTAAGGGATGGAGGGAGGATTTAGACCTAAGTGGTCAGGCTCTAGGGGAATATCTTTGACCACTTTAAAGCAGTATTTCCTCTATGTATTTTTCTATGATAATTTTGTATAAATATTATAAAATGTGTAAAAAATAGAAAATTAAAAATAATAAAATATAAATATGAAAACACCTTTGTTACATGTTATAAACTTGAATGGATCATCTTATACACCCCCTTTGGAAAATACTGGTTTATTTTCTAAATAATTGATTTCATCTTGACTTTACTAACAGTGATGCTATCTTCAGATATATTTTGGGAAGAGGATTTTATTCTTTTACAAAACAAGCAAGAGAAGAATAGGAGTTTTATTCCCTCAAAAGGTTTTGTTGACTAGACCCCAAAGATCATCTTTGGAATAAGAAAGAAGAGAACATATGGAAATCAGTAGCAAACTATCAAAAGAATGATATCATGGAAGCAGTAAGCAGAGTTTAGAAAACATCTGTGTTTTTATCTGATATGTCTATATAATAAACATGTTTTTTAGGAGATAGTTGGGTGTGCGGGAGTGATTATATCTTCATTGTCTCACTGATTAGAAAAAGTATCCTCACCTTCTGAAGAAACGTTTTACCATTAGAAACAGAAACTTAAAAAAGAAAAAGGACTACTTAAATATTTGTCTATGTTAAATGCAACAAGCCATAGCATCATATATCCAGAAAGGATTGTTTCATTTAGTTTAATGAAATTCATACCCAAATATATATTTTTGTATAATAAACTACTGGATTCCTGCTATTTGTCCAATTTTTATTTTTGGCAAAACATGAGTTTTAGCTTCATTGTGCATTTCCCTGTGAGTTTTCCCAGCCACAAGTAGACAGGTAATTCATATGTCTCAGTGGGAGTGTTTTGGAGCATGTTTCATGTGCAATTTCAGAGAAAAGGAGGCAAATGAGATAAGCAGGAGAGATCCCAGGAGCTAACTCTTCCTAGGCAGAAGCTCCATTTAAAAGGCATAAAATTATAATAAAAATTAAAAGTGCACCAAGTGCATAGAAGCAATGTTTGTGGTTAGAGTAAAAGAAAATCAATTTAATCAATCTTTTTCATAAGAATTATATTATTTATTATAGAAACGACAGTGAATCATTTTGGTGGTGGAATTGAGCTAGTAGGCAAATGTCAACATGGAATTGCCAATTTAAATCATCAACCTCGGTTCCAATATCCTTCATCCTGAAAACAGTTTAAACCAAAGTAATAAACAAACAGAAGGGAGACTATTCAGTTATAAATACTTTGACTCAGCAGATTAAGAATACTTAAAATCTACCCTCCAAAGATGTAGAATATGTGTTTTCCTACTCTTCAAAAAATCACTTTTATGCAGTTTTGTTTGTTTATAATCATATCACAATTTCTAAACATAAGAGTTACTCTGAAGAGGGCCATCCTGTAAAATTTGTGCATTTTCCAGATTTTTATAAAATAACTTGAAATTTAAATCTACTCAGCATATTTTCAAATATACCTAAGCACACAAGGCTTAACATAAAATTATATTTTCCGTGGAAAGGCTCAGAAGTCACTATCTCCCAGAAAAGAAATATATACTAAGAAGAAGTGTAATTATTAACAAGTGAATATTTTAAATTTAATATATATTATGGTGAATAGTGTGAATCTAGTCTTCAAGAAAACTTAGAATCTACCCTATTCAATTAAATATATCTCCATGTTAACTACTCCCATAGCCAAACTAAACTAAATATATTCCCATTGTGTCAGTAAATGCTACATTTTGTCAGAGAAAAAATAATACTAAAATCATATTATGATCTTCTGTCAAGCCAAGACCCCAACACTTACATTTTTTTTTATATTTTGAATTGAGAGTTACAATATTTCTATTTAATTCAGAAGGATAAGCTCTAGAAACTCTCCTATCACACAAAATATTTCGTTCTCCCAGTTGTAGATAGCATATAAACAAGAAAATATGAATTAGAACTTGATCCGGTCTTTAGCCTTATGAAAGCTAAAGGCAATATTTTATATAAAAATGTTTTTACTCAGAATTTTCATGGAATAATTATAATATTTATAATATTTTAAAAAACATAAAGCAACCCTAAATGTGGGAAATGTATATATAAAACATAATCTAAATATTTCTTAGGACCTACTACATAGAAGGCTTTGAGGAGAGTTTCAACGTTTGGATCCTCTCCACAAAAGAATTCACATTTGCTTTGATTCTGTGTTTCATATATAATTTTCCAAATGCTATTTGCATATTGACACATTCAAAGTTGAAAACTCTTAATTGGATTATTTTAAGGAGTACAAGGTCAATTCCCAATGCTATGACATTACATTATAAATGCCTTAGTGCAAAAAATCTTCCTTCTTGTGTTTCCTTTTTGTGCTTCGAACTGTCACATATACCTTTGAATTTACTATCTTCTTCTTACAGAAATCTAATGCATTATTAATATAAAAATCCAACAGAAGACAAGCTCCATTTAGGTTACAAATATTTATCACATGTTTAATAAGTGCAAGGCAATATTTAACAGCACTAGAATCATTTAGTCATGGCATGATGCCTTATTAAGTAACCTTTATGTACTCCTAGTTCAATAAATATTGGTTGCAAACATACATTTGTTTATTTTCTAGAGCATAGCCACTCTTACCTAGCAAATGTTCTGTACTTTGGAAATACAGAGAAACTATGTTTTCTGCCCTCAGTCTAAACAGATTTTTTCTAATTGCTTCCAAATGTAACCTAGTTTTGGCTCTTCAAATGCCTCATTTTTGTTTTAATCTAATTACTTGAATTTTAAATGCAGCAGTTTTACCCCTAAATTCTGCCTTAGTAGAATTACATATATAGTAAGGTAAATTTATAATAGGACTGCTAATATTTCATTATTGTTAAATCTGTTTTCAGATATTGTCACTTTACCATTTTGCTATTCTTTTACCTTTTATTTTTCTTCTTTCAGGTTAGAAGAGTTAGAGAGATACTAGTAAATAGGGCCCCTTGCCTATAAAAACAATTTATATCACCACAAATTAGTATGTGCAATACTTGGAAAGAAGTACCACATTGAAAAACAGGAGCAGTTTGCCGCTAAGCTACACTTCTGGAACCAGCCTGACTACAATGTTTCAGGAAAAACCAATTTCTGGATCCCAGAACTTCCAGGGACATCTAGTCACCTCCACAAGCAGACAGAGTCTGGTGTGAGGTAGAGGTTTCCAGAGTACCCTGAAGGGTCCAAGTCAGGACATGAGAAGACTTGCTCATACCATTTTGTCTGTAATCACAGATCCAGAACACTAGAAGGGATCTTAAAAATGTCTCAGAAAGCACACTAAGGCGCAGGAGTCCACTGAGAATAGGGGCCTGGAATACAGGCACAGCTCACTAGATTATACTTTTATGGAAGCCACCACCCCTAAAACGTTTTTTTTTCCTATTTAGTTGCTTTAACAACCTCCTTTCATTTAAAATACAGTTAGTTAAGTGACTAAATCACAAGAATATAGTTCTCTAACTTCTCTACTCTTTCATCATTATAATTAGTACTGAACAGCTTTTATTTTAACTTGAGTATTAGCTCTGAACTTCAGGTCAAAGAGGTTTTTTCCCTAAAGCACTGAAATATAATATGAACAGATGGGAAGTGAGAAATTTTTAACAAAGTTAAAATATCGTTCTTATAACTGTACTGCTTTTATTAACCTTACATATTTCCCTTCTTTGAAAAATATTCCAAAATATTCATGGATAACCCTGAGCTTCAATTGTCACAGGGCTAATTTTAGCCAAAATTATGAAATATTAGTTATTAAAACCACCCATATTAAGTATAATATATGCTCAGACACTCTACTAGGTGTTTGGATAGCAAATGACTTTCATTTTCATAGCTCATTGTACTCTTTATATACCCATCTTTATTAATTGATCTCCTCTTTTAACAAATATTTAGTGCTTCTCACATGCCACACACTGATCTAAATCCTGGATACATACCACAAAACAAAATAGAGAAAGAAATCATGTACACTCACTTCTATTGCAGCTCATTTGACCTACCTTACCCATACTCAAAGTATTCTAAACTAACCAAAGGCAATTTTGCTTCCTAAGTTCAAATCTCCTCATTTTACCAAATGGACTCTCTCCATGCCTTCTCCCATCCACATGGGCCTCATTTTTCTGTTTTCTTTCCTTGTCATGAAGCTTATCTATATTTGGTCAGAAATTCTTATCCTAGAAAACCTCTTATTTAGTATATCTAGTAAGGTATTATGTTGCCTCATCTTCCTAGTACCATGTATTTATTTTAACCTTCACCTCTTGAAGATAGCTTTACTGCAATTCTTGCTTAACCTAGAGGAGTGATGTCTATCATGTCGTACTGTACAGATCATTCCAGTTAAGAAAGAAAGCAAATTAATGGAAAACTACCAAAAGAGCTGGTTGTGTTCTTAAGGGGCCTCGTGGCTACCCTTATGTAAGATTTAACTTTGTCTGAGGTCTAAGCCCTGAATCTTTTCTGAGGGAGTGGTACTTAGAAAAGAAACAGGTCAGTTTTCTTATATTTGCCTTCTGTTGCCTTTTTTACTCTCTTGTATATTAAATTGATGTTTTCTATGAATAGCTTAAATGCTATAAAACATTCAATTTACAGTTAAATTAATTTTAACAAAGATGTATACCATTACAGGTAAATCTTCCCACACCCCCTTGACCTAGACAACCCTTGATTTTCTTTCTGTCATTTCATATTCAGTGTATCTTTGCTAGAGTTTTAAAAAATAGTACTTTTTTAAATGTTTTGCTTCTTTATTATGTTTTTGAGATTAATTCATTCGTATTATATTTATCAATGGTATGTTCCTTCATATCACTAAATGGTAAATACAGATAAATGTATAATAAATTATTTACTCATTCATTTGTTGATGAATTTGTGGGTTAATTCCAGTTTGGGTTTATCGAAACAAAGCTGGAGCTGGTATGGCATTTCTATTCAAGTCCCTGTTTAGGCTTATCTATGAATAGAATTGCTGCCAATATATAATAAATGAATATCTAACTATTTAAGATACTATCAGACTGTTTTCCAAAGTATAGATCTCATTTTACATTCCTGAAAGCAATGAATGAGAATTTGGTATGGCTCTCTATTCTGGTCAACAATTGGTATTAACAATTTTTTATTAGTTTTAGTCATTAATATTTGTTTAAAATCTTGTGGTTTTATTTTATTTTTTGACTTGAGAACTTGATATTGAGTATTTCATCCTGCACTTATTGACCACTCATATATTTCCTTGAACAAAAAGATTTGTAAATAATACAAATGTTAAATTGTTAATAATATATTTATAGAAACATACATGTATATATGCAATTATAGATAATATAGTTGTAATACATTATATGTATAATATTTACAAATCAATGTCAAACAATCTATATATATGGACTTGCATATATATACAAATATGTAAGTTCTTTATAGATATATAGACTGTATTTTCTCCCATTCTGCAGCTTGCCCTTTACTTTTTAAATGATATAATTTTAAAACAAAAATGTCTCTGATTAAATACAATTTATCTATTTTTTTAAATGGCTTGCGCATTTTGTGCTCTAAGAAACTCTTTATCAAACTTTACAAAATTTATCCTCCTGTGTTTTTTTAGATAATATATTATTTTAGCTTATAGGTTTAAGTCTGAGGTCTATTTCAAATGATATGAGATAGTAGTAAAGTTATTTAAAGTTTTTTTTTTCCATTTGGATATCACCTAACTGCGTCTGCAACATTTGTTCAAAAGACTATCTCCCCAACCCTCTTGTAAATATACTTTATTTTTTAGAGTAGTTTAGTTTCATAGCAAAATAGATCAGAAAGTGCTGGGAGTTTCTATAGATTCCCTGTCCCCCCTCTCTGCCCCTTTCTCCACTATCAACCCCCCAGACTAGAGTGGTATATTTGCTACAATTGATGAAAATACGGGAGAGGAGAGGGATAGCATTAGGAGATATACCTAATGCTAAATGACGAGTTAATGGGTGCAGCACACCAACATGGCACATGTATACATATGTAACAAACCTGCACATTGTGCACATGTACCCTAAAACTTAAAGTATAATAATAATAATAATAATAATAATAATAAAGAAAAGAAAATACGTTGTAACATCATTACCATCTAAAGTGCATAGTTCACATTAGGATTTACTCTTGGTGTTACGCATTATGTAAAATGACATGTATCCACCTCTACACTATCATAAAAAGTAGTTTCACTGCTGTGAAAATCTTCTGTGCTTCACCTATTCCTATCTCCCCACTAACTCTTAGCAGCCACAGATAGTTTTACTGACTTCATAGTTTTGCCTTTGCCAGAATGTCATAAAGTTGCAGTCATGCAGTATGCGGGGTTTTCACTAAATAGTAGAAATTTAAGGTTTACTTTACTAAGTTGTAGCCATTTATAATTCTCCTATATTTGCTGAAGGACATCTTGGATGCTTCAACGTTTAGCCAATTATAAATAAATCTGTTTATAAATATTCCTGTGCGTCTTTTTTTTGTGAACTTAAGTTATTAACTTATTTGACTAAATACCAACAAACGTGATTTCTGCGTCATATGATAAGAGTATGTTTAGTTTTGTAAAAAATTACCAAACTGTTTTCCAAAGTGACTACAATTTGTGTTCCTGCCAGCAATGAATGAGCGTCCCTGTTGCTACACATCCTCTCTAGCATTTGGTGTAGTGTTCTAGACTTTGGCCATTTTAATAGGTGTGTGTAGTGGTAGTTCATTGTTTTAATTTGCATTTCCCTAATGGCATATGCTGTGGAACATCTTTTCATGTGCTTATTTGCTATCTGTATATCTTCTTTGATGAAATGTCTGTTCAGGTCTTTTGCCAATTTTTATTTGCATTGTTCACTTCTTGATTGTTGAGTTTTAATAGTTCTTTGTATATTTTGAATAACAGTCTTTTATCAGATATATCATTTGCAAATATTTTCTTTTGATCTGTCACTTGCCTTCTCATTGTTTTCACAGTGAATTTTGCCCAGCTGAAGTTTTTAATTTAATGAACTTTAGCTTTTCAATTCTTTCTTTCATGGATCATACATTCGATGGTGTATCTAAAAAGTCATTGCCATGCCCAAAGTAATCTAGATTCTCTATTATGCTATCTGCTAGAAGTTTAATAGTTTGTGTGTTTTATATTTAGATCTACGATCTATTTTAAGTTAAATATTTTTGTGAAGTGTGTAAGGTCTGTGCCTATACACATGTTTCTTCTATTTGTGTGTGATGCTCCAGTTGCTCTAGCACACTGTTGAAAAAACAATATTTTCTTCATTGTGCTAGTTTTGCTCCTTTGTCAAAGATCCGTTGAGATATCATGTGAATGTATTTCTGGGCTCTCTATTCTGTTCCACTGACTGAGTTGTCTGTTTTTTCACCAGTAACACACTATTTTATTTATGCAGCTTAAAAGTAAATTTTTAAGCCATGTAGTATAAATACTCTGACTTTGTTCTCCTCCTTCAATATTAAGTTGTCTGTTCTGTGTCTTTTTGCCTCTCCATATAGATTTTAGAATTAGCTTGTTAATATCCACAAATACTTGCTGTTTTTTTTTAATTGGAGTCTAAAGACAAAATTGAAAACAACTGAAATCTTGACAATATTGTTTCTTCCTATCTATGAATAAGGAATATCTTGCCATTTGTGCAGTTCTTTGATTTCTTGTATCAGAGATTTATAGTTTTCCTTGTATAGATTTTTTACACATTTTATTAAATTTATTCCCAAACATTTTGTTTTTGGGAGTGTTAATGTAAATGATATGTTCTTTGTAATTTCAAACTCTACTTCTTTATTACTAGTATATAGGAAAATGCTGGATTTTCTATATTAATAATATCCTATAACTTGGCTATAGTTGTTTATTTGTTACAGGAGTTCTTTTTTTCAGTTATTCCAGATATTTTACATATATGGTCATGTCATCTGTAAACAAAGACATTTTTATTTCTTCCTTTCAATCTGTATACTTCTCATTTATTTTTCTTCTTTCATTGAATTAACTAGGAATTCTTAAGGGATATTGAACAGAAATGGTGAGACACACCATCCTTGCCTTGTCCCCACCCTTACTGAGAATACTTCTGATCTCTCACCATTTAATGTAATGTTAGCTGTTAGATCCTCTTTATCAGTTGAGGAAGTTTCCTTCTATTCCTTGTTTGCTGAGAATTGTTGTCATGAATGGATGTTGGATTTAGTGAAATAATTTTTCTGAATCTTTCATATCTATTTATATGACCATGTGATTTTTCTTCTTGAGCCTGTTGATGCAATGGATTGTATTAAATGATTTTAAAATTTGAACAAGTCTTGCATACTTGGGAAAAATATCACTTTGTCATGGCGTATAATTCTTTTCATACATTTTTGGATTAAATTTGCTAATATTTTGTTGAGGATTTTTGCTTCTATATTCATGAGAGATATTGGTGTATATATTCTCATAATGTCTTTGCCTATTTTTCTATTTAGATAATGCTCTCCTCATCAAATGTGTTAGGAAGTATTCCCTCTGCTTTTATCTTCTAAATGTAATTCTAGAGAAATGACATAATTTTTTTCCTTAAACGTTTACAGATGTCACAGGTGAATTCATAGGGCCTGATGCTTTTTATTTTGGAAGTTTCTTAATTTTTGATCCAATATCTTAAATAAATATAGATCTATTCAGGCTTTCTATTTCTTGTGTAAGTTTTGGAGGATTGTGTCTTTATAGGCATCAGTCCATTTCATCTAGTTTAGCAAATCTGTGGTCATATATGTTCATAGTTGTTTTTTTTTTTAATGCCCATAGACTCTGTAATAATAGGCCCTCTTTTGTTTCTAATATTAGTAATTTGTGTCCTTTCTCTTTTTTCTTAATTAGTCTGGCTACAGACTTATCAATTATAATAATATTTTCAAAGAAACCTATTTTGGTTTAGTTGATTTTCCCTATTGCTTTTCTGTTTACAATTGTTTTATTCAATGTCTGCTCAAATTTTTGTTCTTTTTTTCTTCTTTTACTTTGAATTTAATTTGTTCTTTATTTCTAGTTTCCAAAGGTGGTAATTAGATTGTTAATTTTAGATCCTTATTTTGTAATATATGCATTCAATGTTATAAGTTTCTCTCTAAATACTTCTTTTGCTTCAACCCACAAAATTTGATGTTGTTTTTAAGTTATTATTTGATTTAAACTATTACTGAATTTTTTTCAATTTCTACTTAGACCCATGTGTTATTTAGAAGTATGTTGTTTAATTATGTATTTTAGGAATTTACAGTTATTTTGCTGTTACTGATTTCTAGTTTAATTTCACTGTGATTTGAGAGCAGACAATGTGTGATTTAGGTGGAGTCTATGTTTATGAATGTTTTATGAACTTGAAAGAACATGTAATTTTTCATTGCTGAATGAAGTAGTCTATATGTATTAATGATATCAAATCAGTTTATAATGTTGTTAAGTTCAACTATGTCCTTAGTGATTTTCTGCCTACTAGCTGTGTCCATTTCTGTTAGAAGAATATTGATGTCTCCAACTATAAGGGTGGATTCATCTATTTCTCCTTGAAAGTTCTATCAATTTTTGCATCATATTGTTTGATGCTCTGTTATTACATGCATACATATTAAGCCTTATTATGTATTTTGGGGGAATTGACCACTTTATCATTATGTAATGCCCTTCTTTATCCCTGATAGCTTTCCTTGCTCTGAAGTGTGCTCTGTCTCAAAATAATATAGTCACTTCAGCTTTATTAGTTGGGGGAGATATGACATTTTGATGTAAGCATACAATATGTAATGATCAAACAGTTAATTGAGATATTCATCACCTCAAACATTTATAATTTCTTTGTCTTGAAAACATTCCATATCTAATCTTCCAATTATTTTGAAACATACAATAAATTAATATTGACCATAGTCATTCAATTGTGCTACCAAACACTAGATCCATTCCTTCTAACTGTATTTTTGCAGCCATTAACAAACCCCTTTATATCCTGTCCTTCCCATTATTATTTCCATCTTCTGGTAATCATGGTTCTATTAATTACTTCCATGGAATCAATTGTTTTAGCTCCCACATGTGAATGAGAACATGCAACATCTGTCTTGTGTGTTTGTCTTATTTCACTTAACATAATGACCTTCATTTCCATGTATATTGTTGCAAATGACAGGATTTGACTCTTTTTTGTAACAGAATAATTTTCCATTGGGTATATACAACGCATTTTGTTTATTCATTCTTCTATTGATGGATACTTAGGTTGATTCCATATCTTCACTATTGGGAATTTTGCTGCAATAAACATGAGAAGGCAAATATCTCTGTTTGATACACTGATTTCCTTTCTTTTGAATATATACCCAGCAGTGGGATTTTCTCACTTCAGGATTTGTCAAGTTGTGATCTTTTGTATCCACTTGTTCAATTTTGGTGACTGTGATTTGCCCTGTGACCTCCCTTATTATATGGATCTAAGAAGAATTACTGTTTTTTGTTTGTTTGTTTGTTTATTCAGCTTTTTGTTTGTTGTTAGGACAAATTCCTTACATGCTACCCTGGAAACCAGAAACCTTCATAGCCAAAAATTTTACCTTTTCCACATTTAATTGTCTTAGCACCTTTGTGAAAAACTAATTAACAACGTGTGTGATCAAATGCGGCCATGTATGGATTATCTCTTCTATTCCACTGATACATGTTTTTTCTTAGGCCAACCTTATGCTATCTTGATCAATGCAGCTCTATAAAAAGGCTAGAAATCAGGAAGTTCAAGTCCATCAACTTTTTGTCTCCTCATTTGAATTTTTATGTAAATTTTAAAATAAGTTTATCACTTTCTACTAGGGTGGGAGACGTTTTAGTAATTTAATCTATTTTAAGTGAAATAGGGCATTTCTTTTTTCTACTTTATCTAAATGGGTTTGGGAAATTTACACCTTACAAGGGATCTCTCCATTTTATTAATACTTCAAATACATACATTAGCAAAAAGTTTTTTATATTTTCTTAGTATTTATTTATGACACAGGGATATGTAATGATAACTCTTTTTTATTCCTATTATCAGTAATTTGTGTTTCTCTTTTTTGTTTTTTGTTTGTTTTGTTTTGTTTTTTGAGACGGAGGATCACTCTGTCGCCCAGGCTGGACTGCAGTGGCGCGATCTCGGCTCACTGCAAGCTCCGCCTCCCGGGTTCACACCGTTCTCCTGCCTCAGCCTCCCGAGTAGCTGGGACTACAGGCGCCCGCCACCACGCCCGGCTAATTTCTTTTGTATTTTTAGTAGAGACGAGGTTTCACCGTGTTAGCCAGGATGGTCTTGATCTCCTGACCTCGTGATCTGCCCGCCTCGGCCTCCCAAAGTACTGGAATTACAGGCATGAGCTACCACAGCCGGCCTGTTTTTGTTAACCTAACTAGGGATTTATCATTTTTATTGATAGTTTCTAAGAAACTGCTTTTGGTTATTTTATCTTTTTCATTTTATATTTATCTCTGTTTCTGCAATTGTTATTCCCTGCCTCCTTTTATTTTGTACTTGATTTGCTTTTCTATTTCTACCTTCTAAAATTTGAAGGTTTGATTAGTAAATTGAAATTTTTATTTTCCTAATATAAGCATTTAAATGTACAAATTTTCCTCTATAGACTGCTTTAGTTGCAGCCCAGAAATTTTGATATATGTTTTTTTGTTTATTTTCCTTTTTTTTTTTTTTTTTTTTTTTTTTTTGAGACATAGTCTCACTCTGTCACCCAGGCTGGAGTGCAGTCGCTCTGCAGTCTCAGCCTCCCAGGCTCAGGTGATCCTCCCTCAGCCTTCTGAGTAGCTACTGACTCATGTGACCATGCCCAGCTTTTTTTGTGTGTATTTTTTTGTAGAGACGGGTTTTCACAATGTTACCCATGCTGGCCTCAAATTCCTGGGCTAAAGCAATCTGCCCACCTCGGCCTCCCAGAGTAGTGGGATTACAGGCATGAGCCATGGTACCATGGCTCATTTTCAATTATTTTGAGTATTTCTAATGTATTTTGTAATTTCTTTTGTTTGACTGTCGTCTGGCTTATGTTATTGAATTTCCAGTATTGAATTTTAAATACCCAATTTTTGGGTTATTCAAATGTTTTCTTACAGATTTTTATTTGATTTTATTGTGGTGATGTGACATATTTGATAAGGCACTTAAAAATTTATAAAGAAAGGTGCATTATGCAGCATCATATGGTCAATCTTGATGAATGTGTCTATAGAAAGAATGTGTCTTTTGTGGGTTTTTTTGGAGTATTCTATAAATCTTAATTAGGTAAATTTAATTGATAATGTTATATTTCCTATAGCTTTACTTATTTTTGCTAACTTGCCCTACCACTTACAGAGAAAGTAGTGTTGAAATGTCTAACTATAAATGTGAACACCTCAGTCATTTTTACTTCTTGTACTTTCAAGCTCTGCTACTGGATGGATACTCATTACATATTTGCCTTATTATTAATCATGATTTGGTCCCTTTATCATGAATAAATTTTCTTTATTTATCCCTGATCTTATATTTCCACCTAAAATCCAATCGGTCTAATATCAAAACAGCCACTTCAGCTTTTTTATGATTTATCTTTGTATGCCATACATTTTCATCCATTTCATTTTTTATTTGTGTATTTATATTTAAATTCAGTATGTGTAGACAGAGCATATTTGGCTCCTGCTTTTGTATTCAATTTTGAAATCTCTATCTATATTTAGAACTTTAGATTATGTATATTTATTTCTTTAGCAATGTAATAATGTTCAAATGCAATAATTTGCTATATGAATTTTTGTTCTCCTTTCTCATTTGTGTTGATTTTTGTCCTCGTTTATTATCTTCTTTTGAACTAGAATATTTAACATTTTATTTTATCTTCAACATTAACTCATTAACTCTTCTGTTTTAAAATTTTTCTAATAATACTTCTGTGTTGTTGATTATACACTTTTAATGTATCACACCCTACCATCAAATTATATTATATTCTTTCACAATATATGTAAAATTTTACAGCAGTATACTTCCATTTTCTTCCCATTCTTCTCATCACCAAAGGATTATATAAGTTATTTCTACATATGTTGTAAAAGCTATAATAGTTAAATAGTTTTAAAATAAATTTAGAAATTATATGAATACACTTTATACTCACATATTTAACATTTCTGGTGCTCTTTGTTATACAGATAAAAGTCGCAACGTAACATCCCTTTTTTGGCTTAAAAATTTCCTTTGATATGTAATATAGTTCAAGACTGCTGGTGGCCTATAAACTTTGTTTTTTCCCTGCACAAGTGTTTATTTTGCATAATTTATGAAGGATACTTCTTTTAAATATAGATATTTATGTTGAATTTTTTTTTCTTTTGTCTTACGTCATATTTGATGAGATGTCTGTGATTTTCTAATATATGTCTTTGGGTAGGCAATGTGCTTTTGGGCTGATTTTCTTTTTTGTCATTGTCTTTCAGTAACTGATTGTGATGTGTATTAGCATGATTGGCTTTGTGTTTATCAGGTTGTGTTTCTTAGGCATGTGGGTTTATAGTTTATTTGGAAAGTTTTAAGTCATTATATTTGTAAATATTGTTTCTGACATTGCCTGCAGAGCATCCCAATTACATGTACACTAGAATGCTTGATATATTAACTTATGAAACAGAATTTTTCTTTTCATTTTTTTCTGTTTCGTTTTTGAATAGTTTGTATTGCTGTTTTCGAGTTCACTGTATTTTCTTCTGCAGTATCTAAGCTACAATTAATCCTGTCTACTATATTTTTCATTTTAAATATTGTATTTTTATTTTTTGATGTTTCTTTGTTTATATATGTTTTATTTCACTTATTATGTTTACATTTTCTATGAGATAATTGAGCATATAAAGTTTATGCCTGAGAACTGCTTTAACATATCTTTATATTTTACATGTACCTAATTGAATATTTTATCTTTTTTATTTTTTTAATTTTCATAGCTAATAATAATTTTTTTGGCTGAAGGACATAGTGATACTACATTTCTGAGTGCTGAATGTTTGTGTTATTATAAAGAGTGTTGGAATGTCTAACTATAAATGTGAACACCTCCAATCTCCCAAGTAGTTACAAAATTACTTACAGATTGTTTTAATAATTATAAGATTTTATGATGTTTGATTTTAGATTTTATTAAATTGGTGTATATTTCCTATACTACTAAGCAAGTTTAGCCTCACTACTGAGGTATAATCCTTCAACATTTTTCACATTGTGTGGAAAAAATTTAAATAATCACCTGATCTGTGTGAATTCAGGGAGCAGTTATATTTCCAACTTTGACCAGTCTTATCAGTTTTCACCCTATGTATGCACAGATTGTTATTAATTGTATTGTCAAAGACTAAAGGGATATCTGTACAAATTTATGGGGCTTTTTCATTGCTCTGGAAGCTTCCCCTTCCTATTCCTTAATCTGGAAATTTCCTCAGGATAAAAATTGGAGCAAATATATGACACACTTTGTTTCCCTTTTTGCTAGGATTGCAGTCTTGGGCTGATGCTTTTTCAATGTCTGAAAACAGTCATTTTCTATTGTTTCTAGGTTTTCAGAAGTTTGTAGTAGAAGGGTAAATCTTAAAACTGTTCTTTTTTAATGGCTAAAATTGGAAGTTCTTTGTGTCTGCATATTTTGATAGTGATGATGATGACATAAATGATGATGGTGGTTATTATGACAATAATAAGAACTACTTTATGACTCTAGTTTTTTAATTTGCAATGTGCAAAGATGGGGCCTATGGGTGTCCTGAACTGGACAAAAAATTATAGTAATTGTTTAACATAAAATAGATGATTCTATTGACAGTATATAGAAGATTTGGCTATACACACACACTGTACTTTCTTCAAAGGTATTCTGGCTAAAGTAGAGCTTCAGAGCTCTCACCAACAAGCATGAAAATATTTCCAATGTTTCTTTGGAGTCAGAATGTGATTATTTGCAAACAATCTGCAATGACCCATAAGAGGGTTTGGAACTTATCTGTGTTATTGCAAATCCACAGCTTTGCTGTACTGTGTAGAAAGAGCTTTCATCTGTTCACTGCTAATTTAATATAATGTACTTCTCTACCCTGGAAAGCACTAGAGGTAATGACCTGAATTATACTTCTTCAGCACTATATCACAAAGAATAAGAAAATGCTCTGAGGGCTGTACATATAGGACAGACTTCACCCATTGCTAAAATAATACTTTCTTTGAACTGATGTATTGCAACTGTTTTAAAGCATCTAGTCATCATGGGACTTAATGCCTAAAAAGCTGTTTTGAAAAGTAAATATAGCACTGCATTTTGATCAAGTTCACTAAATAACAATTCAACTGTAAAAAACTGCTTGTTCATGGCAGCAACATAATAAACTATATATCCCTAATATATAAACTATATTCTGTTTGCTGTAGAGGTTCATAGAGAATTAGTATCAACCTTAGAGACTCCAGACAATTTGAGTGCACTGGACTTTAAGTTTTATGTTATGTAAGTATACAATGACCAAAGAACCTAATGTGATGCTTGATTGGGCTATTATTAACTGATGGTGGGAATTTTCTCCTGAGAATGCTTTGAATCTGTAGAGTAACATCTCTACTTAGTTTAAGGGAAGATTGAAGATGAACTATGGCTTCTAAGTAGCAACAGGGCAACTTTAAGATTTTCAAGTTAAATATGCCTGTGTCATTTTCTACCATTAGTCATTCTTGAACTATTAATTTAAATAATACTTGACATGCCTTATCTTAGAAATCTTATACTTTATTTTATTTTATTAACTTACACAATTTTTTTGGCCTAACTGACTAACAAATATTATGGAATGTCCATATCTTGTTTGCTTTGGCCATATTTTGTTTGCTTTGAGATTCCACGGTTCAATAACTTTCAGATTAAATTAGGAGAAAAGTCACTAGATGCACTCCTAGAATGTGAAGTGTTTCCCTTACTTGCCAAACAGCTAACTGTAAAATTCACCATTCGTTAATTTTTAAGACTTGTCATTTTATTTGCATGTAGGTTTTAGCATACTGTAGATTTTCATCAATCTGAAATATGAAGAAGAAACTTTCATTTCCACAGGCGATATGAACAAGGCAACAAAATACTATGTCATACAGAAAATATAAGGAAAAGGGCCTGTACTCCTGTTGAAAGTGATTTTCATAAGAACCTCATTAAGTTTTTTTTTTTTTAATTTCTTAAATTGGTTTAAACTTACTCACTAGGCAGTCTTCGCTTTTAATAATAACAGGTATTCAAACATTTTATTTGATTTGACAGCATGCATATAAAAAAGAACCAAAAGAGTGTTGTTTTTCACTTTCTTTGACTTTTCACATTACAAAGAACTGCATTAATGCTGCATTTCATAAATTAAAGTAGACCCTATTGCTTCTCACAATGGATCTTGCTGAAATAGTACTGCAAGCATTTGGTAGATCAACTGATTTTAACATTATGGAAAAGGCAATTTAGACTTACCTGAATGTAAGCAAAAATGTAGAGAAAAACTAGACAAAAGAGCCATTTATAGCATGACTATGTGCCTTGATAACACTCAGATGTCTGCATCCATTTGCAGTTCTATTGCTAGAAATGCGAACTTGAGTGGTCTGCAACATTGAAAATTTAGCTCAGCAATAAGCCATTTCCTGCAAAACAATGTATTGAAGCAAATCACCTTCCTATTCTAAGTCTCTGTATTTCATTGATACCTAACAAATAATGGCACAAGAGTCCTGGAAAGAGCACAATGTTCACAGAAACTAAGTACACCACAGAGGACAGGAATGGTGAGTTAAAGACAAGTCCTCACTTGTACGTACTTTCTTTTATACTCACTGGCACGCCCTCAGACTTTTCCCTTACTCCCTAGGCCCAGGCACCATATGTTGTATAACGTTTGAAAGTTACAATTGAGATTACCATGGAAAAAGGCACAAATCAATGAGAAAATGAATTCTCTGGGACAAACTCACAGTTTTCCTGAGCTCCTATGTTGTAAGACATATGCTTCCCTTTGCCTTTTATTTTAATAAAAATGAAAACCAATTTTTTTTTACCATTTATATAATATTATATGATAGTATGCCTCAGTAGGACAGGTAGGGAGTAGACAGAGGTGACCTGATGCATTATAATAAAGTAAAAATTAGACAGGGAATAAGCTTGTCTCTTTCCTTCACTTTGGCAAAAGTAGAGTCATGTTTGAAACAGAGAACTAAACAATTTAACAGTCTAAACAACCTGTAATTTTCTTACTATGTAAAAATACCCAAAGACTCAAGAGAACAGCATTTATCTTTTTATTAAGTTAGTATCTAACTATCATAATTATTCTATCAGCTACTTCTTTAAGTATCATCTGTTTGGTCAGTATATATTTAATACATGTATATTTAAGAGATATATTTTAAAATAGTGCTCCCCAGAACATACTTTTTATATTTGTATTTGGGTGTGGGAGGTAGCAACTGAGTGGTGGACGCTGATTCCAAGTTTGGTATATATGTCTACAAATCTACTTTATTGCTGTAGAACTGGGGAAGTTTTGCTATAACTTGTCTTTTCTACCCTTCTATAGTTACTCATGGGAAGAACCCTAAGTAGTTTGAAAGAAATAGGATTTGTAAACGTATATTAGAGAGAGTGAATCCAGGCCTAGAAGAGTCTTAAAGCATTATCCCAAACACCAAATACAATTCCATGCTTAGATTTGGATTGAGATTATACAAGACCATGTTCCCACACAAAGAGTTATATTGGTCTGATTGACTTCTCTGGTTTCCATCCTTACTTCTTCTTTCAAAGCAAGTTAATTGAAATCAAAGTCCATTTTTATTTTACCAGTTATCTCATCTACTAGCACCTAGGAGTAAATCAATATATGCTTCAATTAAATTATAAAGAAATAAACAAATCAGTTGCCTGTTTTGCCTTCCAAGGTTATAGGTAGATTCTTTGTTGTTCTGGGATAAGTAGGTTCTGTTGTTTATATAACAGTTCTATGTGGAGATGAGCAGTCTGTATTCCTATTATATCTCATGTCAAAGCTGCTCTCGCTTTGGAAGATATATAGGGGATCTAGAATTCTCCAGATCATACAGGAAAAAAAATTATTATCAAAAGCACCTAATTTGCTTGCAATATAACAATTTTCTGTATAAAAATCAATATGATTTGAAGCTGGGTCTTTTGTACACCTCAAACCAGGAAGGTACTATTCTACTATATGCTCATTGTAACCTTCATACAATATCACCTGCTATGTTGTAACTTAGCAGGAAACAAAACACCAAAGATACCTCTGTGGCACTATACTTTACTAGAAGCTAATGACAATAGATTTCAGAAAGACAGATGAAATATTAAAATATAGCTGAAAATGTACCCCTCTTACACTGATTCTCTACTGCTAGTGATAGTTTTGGAAATCATAAAAGGCAGGAAGCATTTATTTCTGAATTATTATTTTATTTTTAAACACATTGTGAAACAATAAAAAAGTATTAGTAGGTGATAAACACAAATTGTCAGGGATGATGTTTACAAATGGAATAATCATAAACAGAGATACATCAAAAAATGGAAGCATGACCGTCTTGGGGTAATATTGAAGAATGAACTAGATGAAATGTGTTACTGGAAGAGTTTGAATGGCTGCCTCTTGGAAACCATAGGACCGAGGGGTCCATTTTTCAATCTAAGGTTCCATTCAGTCCCTCACCTGCTTCTTTCGTTGGTTAAATTCCAAATATCTATGCACATAACTACTCCTCTCATTATATTATAAATTTCTAGTGTACAATGAGCCTGTCTTACTCATCTTTGTATCTTCTAGTGTCCTCGAAGGATACAAATCACATAGCAGATGCTCTATACATGCTAATCGTACAATCCTAAAAGATGATACATAATACATACCTATCTTATTTAGATAAGTCATTCCCAGAAAAGGAAAATAAAAAATGAATGCCTTCTTAAGGCCTTTTTATCCTTAAAGAATTAGGGCTTTATATACTGTACTTCTGCTTCTCATGAGAATATTGCCCAATTTCTTAACTAATAACCACACCAAGTTCATAGATTTCCTGGCCATATTTTTCACAAGATCAGTGATTCAATCTTGGGTGAAACTGCCAAAGCATCAATATAGCATAATATTGGATACTTCCCAAATTTAAATAATGTAGCAGATTAAAGGAGCTTGGTTACAGAAATGAAAATATCATGTCATTGGAATTCAAAAGCAGATATAGCCTCACACCATTTGATTTGCACCAGCATAGTTACATTTAAATAATGTAAAAAAAAAAAAGTCTTCTTAATGGAAGATCTATTCCTACCCAGAAATAAGTTGTGTCCTCCTGTCTAAAGCATGCTAATATGGCATTACTCTAACAAGCTTGCATTGCCCGTAGATAGGTATATTTGTGCAAAATGTGAAGGGCTTTAAGTCCATTTTCTGCTTTATGATTAGGTCATATTAAGTATTCTGATTCACTGTTCTTTAGATCTACAATTAGTTTCAGTGAGGTTCACAAGGGATTGAGTTTCATTCTTTGGTCAAACACCAACATATTAGAAAAATGTAGTCATAAAGGTAATAGGGATAGAGTCACTTCTTTTAGTCGCTAATAAACTGAACCAAATAAACTATTCACTAATAATTGATAATAAGATTTAGAAAAACAATTCTGCAATTTTAATGAGGAATCTATTTTATTTTAGAGAAAAAGCCTTTGATGAATCAACTACATTCCATCAAATTTCTTAGGTTGGAGCAATGAAAATACGCATTTGTACAATTACAAATGAAACTGAACCTGCCTGCAGAGCCAGCATAGACTGTTCAGGAACATAAATCTGCTTCACAATAGAAAAACCCTTTGATGACTAATGCAGACATCTTGAATGAAGGAAAACATAATAGTAAGCTATTGCTAACATAAACATGCTATCAGACATATAAATATATTCATATATAACTTCATAAATACATATCTTCCACCTATCCAAATTGTGCCAGTGTATTAGTCTATTTTGTGTTGCTATAAAGGAATACCCAAGGCTAGGAAATTGATAAAGAAAACAGGTTTATTCTGTCTCATGGTTCTGTAGACTGTACAAGAAATATGGCATCAGATTGACTTCTGTTGAGGCCTCAGGAAGCTTTTAGTCATGGCAGAGGGGAAACAGGAGGAGGCATGTCACTTGGCAAGAGAGGGAACAAGAAAGAGAAGGAAGTGGCACAGTCTCTTAAATATCCATCTCACCTGTGAACTAATGGAGAGAGAACTCATAACTGTGAAGACAACACCAAGGCATTCATGAGGAATCCACCCCCATCACCTAGACACCACCCACTAGGCCCACCTCCAATATTTGGGATGAAATTTCAACAGGATATTTGGAGGAGACACATATGCAAACCATATCAGCCAGTTTCTATAAAATTCCAGGAAGAATCACATTACATTTAATCCAAGAATAAGTTAAAAGTTAACCAGGTTAATTATTATATATACCAATCATGAAACCTGAAAAAGTAGCCTATTAAAAAAGAAAAAACTAAAACAAATGGTTGAAAATTAGAATTCAGTTAAATTTATTTGCCAACTGAGATAAATCATATATAAGTTAATAATTACTCTTTTGAAATAACTAGAATAAAATTTAAAAAAACACTTAAAGTGATATAAACTGACATAATTTTAACCTTGTTTAAAACTGAGACATCAGTCAAGTTCTCCTTTTCTTTCAGGGTCATCATTATGACCAAACATGAACTTTAAATATATATATATGGCTATATACAATAAGGTATAAATTAGCCTACAATCCATATTGTGAGATATATACTTTCATTAGTATAGTTTACTTAAATGTCATTTGTTCTTATTTATAAAATGGAGGCAAAGCCCTGTATATTCTGAATCTATCTAAACTTTAACATTTAAGATTTTAAGGTTTAGTTATAAGTTTATTGCAGATACTATGCTAATATGTGGAACAGATACTGATGAACTGATATGTGTTGTCTTAAGACAACATCATCACTCTATTATAATTTATTTCACCTAAAATGTCCCTTCTTTGAGAATGTCCCTTCTTTGAGATAAGCATGTTAATTCATCTCTTAAACTCATTTTTAAAAATAGGTTTAAGTTAACTTTGAGAATATAATTCTTGAATAATAACACTACTTTCATAAATTATACATAGGCATGGGCATATGCAGAATAACTTAACTATTAGAAAACATCAATTAAAAAATTCAATAGACTTTTCTTAAGAAGTAGTTATGAGTAAAAAAATGAGGAAAATTCTGCATGGGATTTCAAAGCTGCAGTAGCCGCCCTCACCACATATATATTTGCACCTATGCTCATTTATATGAAGGAAGCAGAGAGAAGGACAGGATTCATTTCCCATTCTTACATTCAAGGTATAAAAGTGAAACCAATGATTACTAACCAATTGAAAAATTATGAAAGAAAGAACATACATATGCACAGAAGAATATTGAGCATAGGGTTGTTCTAATAAAGTAGGTTGTGGTGATAGTGTTTTTTTTTCCTCTTTTATGTTGAAACCATGTAATTGCCAATGCAAAATGGAAAACTGGCAATAAAAGCATCCATTTACATGAGAAATTGCTCAGTGCCCTCACACATACTGCTTTTCGTGCACAATACAAAATAGTTCCATTTTCAGTGGAACATATGCTAAATGTTTAAGCTCAAAGATGATTTAGACAAAATGGAAAAGATTTTTTAAACATTTATTTTACACTTTACGGGATTCATTTAGATTGGCAGATGTTCTAAGATCCAAAGAAAAGTAACTTAACTAGCTAGTGCAAATGACAATGTTTGAGAAGACAGCAAGAGGGAGAAAAAAAATCTGTCACCTTGTGGCATTCAATATCAGAAAGCATATAAATAAGTAGATAAGTAATAAATACATAAATAAAAATACAGAGGAAATCTAATAGTTAAAATACCGAAGGACTTTCAAATTATTGTAGGTACCTGCAGCAAATGATGTATTGATTTTGCTGTTAAACTGCACAGCTGTAACCAACACATTAGACATGGAAGATAAAAGCAATGACTAAAAGCACCTTATTTCATCTGTCACACCTGAGGCACTGCCTTCTTCAGACCTTTAGTGTATTAGCACAGAAAATCAATTAGGTAAAGAACTAAACAAATGAAGGGAAAATAAAAAAGGCCTCATTCACAAAGTGTCAGAGATGTCAACAAGCTCAGGAGACTTCAGTAAACTATGTGATATCTCCAAATAAACCATAACTACTTTTTCTGAACTTTTAAAAGTCAGAAATTATGTATTGCATAATCCTCTAAGCCTATTTTGGAAGGTCCTCAGCCATTAAACAACACATGATAACGCAAAATTGCTTATGGACAAAAATGATCCATCTATAAAGTACACATCACAGTATGTTGTTTGCTTAAAGTTTGGTATACACAAATCTATTAAATAAGAAATATTCTGTGTCATGTAAGACCAAAGAAACCCAATGTTGCTATTTTCCTAATAGACTGTCAACATGATTATGCATAGGGATTCTTACACAAAGCCCCTTGGTACTTAAAATTTGTATTACCAGTACTGTGTTTCTATAGGGCCCCCAAATTTGGAGTGCAACTTAAGCGATTAATCTTCTCAGCCATTGAAATAATCATTTTTATCACAACAGTCAAATGATTCCTTTTGTAAGTAGACAAAGCACTGAGTATCAAATCAGCCTTAGGGATTCTGCTAGATTAAAGTGCCATGATATTAATCTTTCTTTCAGGGACTTATTATTTCCTACTAAGAAAATCAAACTACTTCTTGAGAGGAGGTCTTATAAATTATCAGAAGGAATGTATAAAAGCCACATTTGGACACTAAAATTTAGTTTTATGGCCAATGCTTATCCATTTTCTTGCAACTTCACCAAATATTAAAACTATTTCTTCTTCATATCATTATTTCTTATACTACTAGTACATAGTTCATCTTACCAATTTTCAAGTCACTGCTTCTTCACCTCATTTACCCATAGCTGTTAATCTCATACTTCTTCTTTATTCATATTCATTTTCTCCTTTTTAAAAGCATTGTGGAATTCCACACACAGAGCTCCATAAGCTTTAGCTCTATCCTGACCAAATTCTCAGTTAATCACCTTTTGCATTTGCTTGTGACCACTATCTTCTCATATTAATTACTGATGTCCAGATATCATGACCTCTCCCATAAAGACCTGATTTTCCCACTTTCCTTACTGGTTTGCTTCTCATTCCTCAGGGTCAATACCAACCAGTAACTCTCTACACCCTGCTTTGTCACCTGAGCTTCAAATTAACAAATATTCACTGCGGGTCTGTTATGTCTCAGACACTGTGTTGTCGCATTTATATGTGTTAAAACATACATAATTTAGTCATTTGAGTCTCATAACTATCTCGCAACATATTCGTTCAATTTCACAGATGAAAAAACAAACATGGAAAAGGTAAGAAACTAGCCAATTATCGTAACTTCATTTAGTTATACCGACACTCATTAAAGTCTTGCTCTTTGTGACCTTCTCCTAAAAAATGGCTCTAGATTTCCTTCTTTGTACATAATAATTCATCAGATCAGCTCTTTGCCATCTCAGATTTATATGAAGCCCCAAGAAGAAGAAATAGAGGTCCATGTTCAAAATTTCCAATGTGCCATCAATCAAAATTTCCACATGCCATTCGCATTAGTAGACATGTGGAAGGATGATTGTGACCTTTGGGAATAAGTTTGATGAGAGAGAGAGGGAAAGATAGGGAGAAAGAAGCATGAAACATAAAAACATGAGATTAAAGAGGAAACCAAAAGAGGAAAATATGTAACATATCCTAAAAATCAGCCTGGGTTGGTGCTCCAGAAACCACCATAAAGGAAGTGTGTATTAACAAAGCATAGGATTCAGAAAGCAAGTCTAACCCACTTCACAATTTCCTTAAGATAAAATGTTCTTTTTATCCAAAAGTTTTATATGGAAATGCTACTTTCAATAGAGAAAACCACCGGAGCAGAACTCAATCCTTTATCAATGATCACGATATGAATTTGAGTATATTATGTAAAGACAAATTTTCAAAGATCAAAACAAATGTTGAATAATACATACTTTCAAATAACCTGTTGAGAAAATGCTGAGGGTTCTTTAAATAAAAATTTAAAGTTTTTGGAGAGAGGTGGAGCAAGATGGCAAAAAGGAAAGTTCCACTGATTGTCTCCCCTCCCCACAAGGACACCAAGTTAATAACTATTACACAGAAGAAAACAAAACACATTCATAAGAACCAAAAATCAGGTGAGCACTCACAGTACCTGGTTTTAATTTCATATCACTGAAAGAGGCACTGATGAGATAGAAAAGACAACCCTGAATCACTGACACCACCCCTACTCTATCCCTGGCAGTGCTGTCCTGTTAGAGCAGAAAGGAAAACCATACCAAACTCAGCTGATGCCTGCCCACAGAGGGAACATTTAAACCAGTCCTAATCAGAGGGGAATTGCCAATTCCAGTGGTCTGAACTTGAGTGCCCACAAACCACACCACTGAAAGCCAAAGTACTCTCCATCTCTAAGTAAACTTAAATGACAGTCTAGACCATAAGGACTGCAACTCTCATAGGCGAGTTCTAGGGCTGAACTAGGCACAGAGACAGTTGACTGCTGAGGTGGGTTGGAGTCATGTGACCTACTGAAACACCAGCTGGGGCAGCCAAGGGAGTTCTGGCATCACCCCTCCCCTAAACCCAGGTTGCACAGCTCAAGGCTCCAAAAGACAACCCTTCCTTCCACATGAGGAGAAGAAAGAGTAGGAAGGAATTTGTCTTGCATCTAGGATGCCAGCCCAGCCACAGTAGGATAGGGTACCAGTCAAAGTCATGAGGCCCCCATTCCAGGTCCCATTCCAGGTGATATTTCTAGACACACCCTGGGCCAGAAGGGTAGCTGCTGACTTGAAAGAAAGGACCGAGTGTGTCAGCATTTATTACCTGCTAACTGAAAAGCCCTTGGGCCCTGAATAACCAGCAGCAATATCCAGGTATACATCAAGGCCCTTGAGACTTGCTGGCTTCAGGTGAGACTCAGCACATTACCAGCTGTGGTAGTTATGGGGCAAAACTCTTGCTTGAGGAAAGCAAAGGTAAAAGTAAAAGAGAACTTTGTCTTGTACCTTAGGTACCAGCATCGCCGCAGGGTGGTAGAGCACTGAGCAGGCTCTTGGGGTCCCTGATTCCAGGACTTGACTCTTCAGTGGCATTTCTGGACCTTTCCTGAGCCAGAGGAGCACCCAATGACCTGAAAGGTGAGTCCCAGCCCAGGCAGCATTCACCATAATCTGACTGAACAGACCATGGTCCTTAATGGAATATTGGTAGTGGCCTGGCAGTACTTCTTGTGGCCAGGAGTGGCAGTGGCTACAAAGTGAGACTTCTCTGCCTTTGAAAAGGGGAGGGAAGAGTGGGAAGAACTGAATCTTGTGGTTTGAGTTTCAGCTCAGCTGCAATACAATAGAATACTAGGAAGACTTCTAAGTTTTTTTTACTCTAGTCTCTGACTTCCAGGTAGCACTTCTGGAATGCCCTGGGGCCTGGGGGACCCTGTCAGCCTGAAGGGAAGGCTGGCAAGCTCTGCCACCTACTGATTGTAGAGCCCCGGAGCCTTAAGCAAACATAGGCAGTAGCCAGGGAGTGGTTACAGCAAGCCTTGGGTGAGACATAGTGCTATGCTGGCTTTAGGTCTGACCCAGAGCAGTCATAGTGGTGGTGAGCACAGGGGTACTTGTGTCACTACACCTCCAGCCTTAGGTGGCTCTGAAAAGACAGAGAGACTCTGTATGTTTGAGAGAAAGGGAAGAGAACAAGACTCCCTACCTGGTAATCGAGAGAATTTCCCCCAGACCTTGTCCAAGATCATCAAGGTGGTACTTCTACAAGTCTGCAAGAACCACAGCATTACTAGGTATGGGATGCCCCCTAAAACAGAAACAACTTAGATCACAACACCCAAGTCCTTTCAAATATCTGGAAAGCCTTCTCAAGATGGATGGCTACAAATAAGCCCAGGCAGTAAAGACTATGATAAATACCTAATTCTTCAATGCTCAGACACTAAAGAACATCTTCTAGAATCAACATAATCCAGGAAAACATGTCCTTACCAAATGAACTCAATAAAGCACCAGGGATCAATCCTGGAGAAACAGAGATATGTGAACTTTCAAATAGAGAATTCAAAATAACTGTGTTGATGAAATTCAAAGAAATTCAAGATAACAAAGAGAAGAAATTCAGAATTCTATCAGACAAATTTAACAAATCAGTAAATCAGTAAAAAGAATCAAGCAGAAATTCTGGAGCTGAAAACTGCAAATGGCATACTGAAGCATATATCAGGGTCCTTTAACAGCATAATGGATCAAGCAGAATAAATAATTAGTGAGCTTGAAGACAGCCTATTTTAAAATATGCATTCAAATGAGACAGAAGAAAAAGCAATAAAAAATAATGAATAACACCTACAGGGTCTAGAAAATAGCCTCAAAATGGCAAATCTAAAACTTTATTTGCTGTAAAGAGGAGATAAAGAAAGAGATGGGGTAGAAAGCTTATTCAAAAGAATAGCAACGGAGATCTTCCCAAACCTAGAAGAAGATATCAATATCTAAGTATAAGAATGTTAGAGAACACCAAGCCGATTTAACCCAAAAAATATCACCTCAAGGCATTTAATAATCAAACTCCCTAAAGTCAAGGATAAAATATCCTAGAAGCAGCAAGAGAAGAGAAACAACATACAATAAAGCTCCAATACACCGGCAGCAGACTTTTCAGTGGAAACCTTACAGGTCAAGAGAGAGTGGCATGACATATTTAAAGTCCTAAAGGAAAAAAAAAAATCTTTTACTCTAGAATAGTATATCTGGTGAAAATATCCTGCAAACATTGAGAAATAAAGACTTTCTCAGACAAACAAAAGCTAAGAGATTTCATTAATACTAGACTTGTCCTACGAAAAATGCTAAGGAGAGTAATTCAATGAGAAAAAAATAATATGAATGAGCAATAAATAATCACCTGAAGGTACAAAATTCACTGTAATAGTGAGTAAACAGAAAAACACAGAATACTGTAACACTGTAACTGTGGTGTGTAAACTACTCATATCCTAAATAGAAAGACTAAACAATGAACCAATCAAAAACAATAACTGCAAAAACATTTCAGGAAAGAGTCTGTACAATAAAATACAAATAGAAACAGCAAGAAGTTAAAAAGTAGGGGGAAAATTTAAGGCAAGTTTCTATTAGTTTTCTTTTTGCTATTTTGTTTTTGAAAGTAGTGCTGTTATCAGGTAAAAATAATGGGTTGTAAGACAATACTTGCAAGTCTCCTGGTAACCTCAAACCAAAAAACATACAATGGATACACAAAACATAAAAAGCAAGAAACTAAATTATATCACCAGAGAAAATCAACTTCACAAGAGGAAAACAGAAATGAAAAAAAAAAAAAAAAAAGAAGGAAGAGAAGACCACAAAGTAACCGGAAAACAAATAGCAAAATGGCTGGAATAAGTTATTTATCAGTAGTAACATTGAATGTCAGTGGACTAAACTATCCCATCAAAGAAAGAGAAAGAAAGAAAGAAAGAAAGAAACAAGGAAAGAAAGAAAGAAAGAATCTACAAGCCAATAAAACTGATGAATATTTATGCAAAAATCCTCACCAAAAACTAGCAAACTGCATTCAACAATACATTAGAAATATCATATATCATGACCAAATAGAATTTATCCCAGGATGCAAGGGTGGTTCAACATATACAAATCAAAAAGAGATATTTCATGAAATCTGGATTTCTGGAATTCAGTGAAAAATGATATTCCATGCCAATGGAAACCAAGAAAGAGCAGAAATTACTATACTTAGACAAAATAAATTTCCAAATGAAAACTATAAGAAGGGACAAGTAAAGTCATTATATAATGATAAAGTGGCCAATATCCTTTATTCTGTTGATACATCATATCGGAAGACCTGAAAAATGATGCTGGGAAAATTGAATAGCCATATACAAAAGAATAAAACTAGACCTCTAGCTCTACCATATACAAAAATAAAATCAAAATGGAATGAAGACCTGAAACTATGAAAATACTATAAGAAAACACTGGGGACAATCTGCAGGACATTAATCTCTGCAAAGACTTTTTGAGCAATACCCCACAAGCACAGACAACCAAAGCAAACATGGAAAAATGGGATCACATGAAGTTAAAAAGCTTCTGCACAGCAAAGGATACAGTCAACAAAGTGAAGAGACAATGTACAGAATGGGAGAAAATATTTGCAAGCTACCCATCTGACAAGGACTTAATAACCAGAATATATAAGGAGCTCAAACAACCCTATAGAAAAAAAATCTAATAATCCAATCACAAATGGGCAAAATATTTGAATAAACATTTCTCAAAAGAAGACATGTAAATGGCAAACAGGCATATAAGAAGGTGCTCAACATCATTGATTATCAGAGAAATGCAAATCAAAACTACAGTGAAATATCATCTCACCCCAGTTAAAATGGCTTATATCCAAAAGACAGGCAATAATAAATGCTGGCACAGATGTGAAGAAACGGGAACACTTGTGAACTGTTGGTGGAAGTGTAAGTTAGTACAACCACTATGGAGAATAGTGTGGAGGTTCTTTAAAAACTAAAAATTGAGATGCTGTCTGATCTAGCAACCCCAGTGCTGGGTATATATCCCAAAAAGGGAATTCAGTATATCAAAAAGATACCAGCACAACTATGTTTGTTGCAGCAGTGTTTACAATAGCTAAGATGTGGAAGCAACCTAAACGCCCATCAACAGATGAATGGATAAATAAAATGTGGTACATAAACACAATGGAGTACTATTCAGCCATAAAAATGAATAAGATCCAGTTATTTGCAATAACATGGATAGAACTGAAGATCATTATCTTAAGTGAAATAAACCAGGCAAAGAAATACAAATATCACATGTTCTCACTTATTTGTGAGATGTACAAATCAAAACAACTGAACTCATAGACATAGAGAGTAAAAGGATAATTACTAGAGGCTGGTAGGAGTAGTTGGGGGTTGGGTGGAAGGTGAGTATGATTAATGGATACAAAAAAATAGAAAGAATGAATAAAACCTACTATTTGATAGCACAATAAAGTGACTACAGTCAATAATAATTGTATATTTTAAAATAATGTAAAGAAAGTAATTGGATTGTTTTGTAACTCAATAGATAAATGCTTGAGAGGATGAATACACCATTCTCCACAGTGCACTTATTTCACATTGCGTACCTTCATGAAAACATCTAATGTATACAATAAATATATATACATACTATGTACCCACAAAAGTTTTAAAAATTAATTTAAAAAATTTTTAAATTAGGCTTTTGAATTGTGGCATAGGAATATTCTCTTTGGTGGGTTTCTAATAAATATTCAGTGACAAAATAAGGTCATTTTTAATACTTGCCTAATTTATAAAGTATTTTATAGACTCATATTGAAAGTAGGAATAATAAGCTTCTATGTCTTTTAGTGCCTGCATTTTATTATTATCAACTGCAGGATTCAAATATATGTCATGCACACAATGATTAACAGTCTATATCCAGAAATTTAAAAAATTCTACAATTGATAATGCATGTTGTACACTATCACCTCAGAATGTGAAGACATTTTCTTTGTTAGTGGTAATACATGCATTCCTCTGAGCCTGAAAAGATCAGAACAAAATTCTAAGATTTCTGAGAATTTTGTAGACAATAAGTTAATATCCTACACTTTTGTAAAATTTCTCATGCAAGTATCACTTAAGATTAAACATACTTGAGTACACCAAAAATGCATATCTTGGTGGTATCATTTTAGAACTTATTCAGAGAAGAAAGATCCATGTCAATTTCAGTTTTTTACCAGGTTTCCACTGCTAAATACATATAAACATCTTGATCCTGAAAGTGAATAATTCTGTTGTAACTGATATCCTCAGATCACCATGAGCAGCTTGCAATTTGACAAGGCAATTTAGAACAGCTCTAGGGGTCCCAGATGTTTAAAAAGTTCAGCTTTTACCAGAGTGAGTTGAATGCTATGGCTAACTACATTGTAGTCAGAATACAACAGAATGACTTTCTGAGTTACTTCAGATATTAGAGAGGAGACCTGCCTGATACCGGAAAGGCTCAATCAACATCAATTATTTTTCATCAGTTAGTATCTTCAAAATGGCTCTTTTGAAAGGTAACCCTATTAGCTGGGAAGGTAATGCATTATTCCATTAGCTTGTAAGAAAAAATTGCTTAGCAAGGTCCTCAGGGAATGAACACCAATAAATAAGTTTTAATAAAGGGGGAAAATGAATATCAGAAGAAAATCTGGGCATGGATCTCGCCCAACCTAACAGTCCTAGGTAAATCACTCAAAAAAAAAAAAAAAAAAAAAAAACAGGCACTTTTGAGGAAGCAGAGGTAAAGATGGGGTCATGCCAAAGAATTCCCCATCCCCATAGTTTAATAGGGCACTACAGATATTAGGGGCACTCTTTATAGATCCAGCATGTATGTATTCACTCTCCTTTGCCTACACTTTTTCTGCTGTGAAATAGGGATAGTAATAAAAGTTATATCATAGGTAGGGCTACAAAATCAAAGGTAATTCATCAATGTAATACATAAGATGCATTTAGAGCTTTACCATAATATTAACATTATGTTAACATATGGAGATTCATTAATATTACAGTGAAGTAGTTTGATATATTCTTCATCTTATATATGAAAAAGTATTATTTCTGTGCATTATTAGTATTCCAATATGTAAACACTCTGAAAAATAAAAATAAAAATTATTTTGCATGGTTTTACTTTTGGCAGATTGATAAAGGTACTTAATTTCTTTTTCTTTAACCTGGTGAAGTATCTGAAGCCTTTCTTTCTCATGTCAGAAAATGAATTTCAAACAAATTATAAGCAACTAACCTCAATTTTCATTCCTAGCAAATGAACATACCTTCAAATAATGTTACAGAATTTTTTTATACTTCTCCTAGATGATAGATAAATTCATAAGGCACTTCTCGTTACCAGGAAATGGGAGCTTTTTTACTGCTCCAATAAAGTAAGCATACACAACACTCTCTTAGAGACCAATAACCTCACTCACAATTTCATTTATCAGCTCCCTGTAGTCTACGAGCTTGTCTTTGAGGAGACTCTATCTGCATGAGGATTTCAGGACTAAATTTTCCTTTCAAATTTCACTGTCTAATAATAAAGTTCTGTGGACAGTTTCTCAATTACTTCTACTGCCTAGGGTCAGGCTACAGAAGCAAATGTAGATATCTATGCACTTCATTCCCAGTGGATCAAGGTGGTAATACCCAGTTTCATTTATACCTATTTTTACAATTTTTGTGCAACAGCAATTTCCTCTAATTTTCAGACTAATGTGGATTTAATTTTCTTTTCTTTTCATTCCCTCCTTTCTTCCGTTGTATTTTTCCACCTTTTCCACTTCCCTCCCTCCCTCTCTTCTTTCCCTCCTTCATTCTCTCTTTCCTTATTTTTTCTTCTTTCCTTCCTTCCTTTCTTTCTAGCAGTCAGGAAATAGGTATTAGTGTTTCTATTCCTGTATATTTTCCTTTCCTTTCAAGGAAGAGTCCTGGCTATGTGTTTAAAGTCCCTTATTTTATATGAATACAAAGAAAATTGTATAGGAGAACATTCATACACAAAATTAACTACTCAATTAACTATAATAAAATTAGTTGAACATGAATCAGTTTTCCCTTTTGCCATGAAACTTAAATATCTCAAGATACATATTAATGATAATTGTAAGAAAATGCCACATTTATTTTATCTCCAGTGTGTTGATTATTGCCATCACAATTCAACTATCACCATAGTCATCAGCCACTCATATTTCAGTGTTTAAATCTAATATCCTATGACCTTTCTCATGCTCTCATGACAGTAGAATAAGTTCTTAGTTCTCACTAATATCTCTATTAATTGCTTGCCATCTTATTTTCTCACTCCAAGGAAATGGAAAAATCTCTTTGAATCAAATGGACCTGTCACCTAGGGCTAGGGCACTTTTGAGTTATAATACCTTAGCTAATTATGTAACTAATCTGAAACTCATTTTCACAGTCGGAGAAAAAAGGGATTTATGACATACAGTTTTGAATTTTGTCATAAACACTAAAGATAATATTAATTAAGCAACAGCATAGTGCCTAGCACCCAATAAATCATTTCAAATGTTATGAAAAATCATTGTCATTATTATTGTTCATTTACATTGAATCGTTATTAATATTGTTGCATGTACCTAATTAAACATATACATTGTGTGTATGTCTATTTCTGGAGTCTCTATAGTGTTACATTGATCTATATTTACTCTTTTAACAATTCCACACTGCAGGGATTAGTGTCATTTTTATTAAGACATGAAATCAGATAGTGTGAGTCCACCAACTCTGTTGTTTTTAAAGACTGTTTATTCTATCTAGTTTGCTTTTTATGTAGATTTTAGAATAAACGTTGATACGTTGATACGCATAAACTTCATGCTGGAATTTGTAGTGGGAATGTGTCGAATCCACGAGACAATTTGAAGAATTCACATATTATCGAAATTAATCTTCTAATCAATGAAAACTATGTATATTTCCATCCAATTAGGTCTTCCATGATTTCTTTCATCAATGTTTTGTAGTTTTTAGGACACAAATCTTACATACACTTTGTTAGGTATAAATTAAAGTTCTTCATGTTTTTGATGCTATTGTAAATAGTACTTTTTATAAAATTTTAATTTACAGTTTTACATTGCTGTTATACGAGAATTCAACATATTTTTTCAATATCATCAAGACCTATTTATTAACATACTTATTAGTTCTGGTAGCTCATGAAAGACTCTTTGGAATGCACTACATAGAAAATCATATTCCCAGTGATGATGAGCATTTTTTCATGTGTTTTTTGGCTGCATAAATGTCTTCTTTTGAGAAGTGTCTGTTCATGTCCTTCGCCCACTTTTTGATGGGGTTGTTTGTTTTTTTCTTGTAAATTTGTTTGAGTTCATTGTAGATTCTGGATATTAGCCCTTTGTCAGATGAGTAGGTTGTGAAAATTTTCTCCCATTTTGTAGGTTGCCTGTTCACTCTGATGGTAGTTTCTTTTGCTGTGCAGAAGTTCTTTAGTTTAATTAGATCCCATTTGTCAATTTTGTCTTTTGTTGCCATTGCTTTTGGTGTTTTGGACATGAAGTCCTTGCCCATGCCTATGTCCTGAATGGTAATGCCTAGGTTTTCTTCTAGGGTTTTTATGGTTTTAGGTCTAACGTTTAAGTCTTTAATCCATCTTGAATTGATTTTTGTATAAGGTGTAAGGAAGGGATCCAGTTTCAGCTTTCTACATATGGCTAGCCAGTTTTCCCAGCACCATTTATTAAATAGGGAATCCTTTCCCCATTGCTTGTTTTTCTCAGGTTTGTCAAAGATCAGATAGTTGTAGATATGCGGAGTTATTTCATGAAAAAATGCTCGTCATCACTGGCCATCAGAGAAATGCAAATCAAAACTACAATGAGATACCATCTCACACCAGTTAGAATGGCAATCATTAAAAAGTCAGGAAACAACAGGTGCTGGAGAGGATGTGGAGAAATAGGAACACTTTTACACTGTTGGTGGGACTGTAAACTAGTTCAACCATTGTGGAAGTCAGTGTGGCGATTCCTCAGGGATCTAGAACTAGAAATACCATTTGACCCAGCCATCCCATTACTGGGTATATACCCAAAGGACTATAAATCATGCTGCTATAAAGACACATGCACACGTATGTTTATTGCGGCATTATTCACAATAGCAAAGACTTGGAACCAACCCAAATGTCCAACAATGATAGACTGGATTAAGAAAATGTGGCACATATACACCATGGAATACTATGCAGCCATAAAAAATGATGAGTTCATGTCCTTTGTAGGGACATGGATGAAATTGGAAATCATCATTCTCAGCAAACTATCGCAAGAACAAAAAAACAAACACCGCATATTCTCACTCATAGGTGGGAATTGAACAATGAGAACACATGGACACAGGAAGGGGAACATCACACTCTGGGGACTGTTGTGGGGTGGGGGGAGGTGGGAGGGATAGCATTGGGAGATATACCTAATGCTAGATGATGATTTAGTGGGTGCAGCGCACCAGCATGGCACATGTATACATATGTAACTAACCTGCACAATGTGCACATGTACCCTAAAACTTAAAGTATAATAAAAAAAAAAAAAAGAAAAAAGAAAAAAAAAAGAAAATTATATTCCCTGCAAATATAGAGCATTTTAATTATTCTATTCCAAATACAAGGCCTTTTGTTGTTTTTTCTTAACCTACTTGTGCTCCCTAAAATTTGAAAACAGTTACATTACAGTAGCACATGCAAACATATCTTCCTATCTCTGTTTTTAGAAAATATATGAGAAAGCATTCACTGTTTTATCATGAAGTATACTGTAATCTGTAGGGTGATTTTTGGTTTGGTTTGATTTGTTTGGCTTTTGATTTTGAGATTCTTGATGATTGTGTGTGTGTGTGCGTGCACACGTGTGTGTGTGTGCATGTGAGTGTGTGTGGCAAGTTCTCTTTAACAAGTTAGGAAGGAGTCTTCTATTCCAAGTGATTTACCTCTACCTTCCCCCAACCAACACACACATACACATTTGTATATGTATGGCCTAGAGTCTATTGATAGGGTGAATTACATTGTTTTGATTTTTTAAATGTGCCAATTTTGCATTACCAGGATATGGTCATGATACATTATCCTTTTCATATATAGAAGGGCTGTTTGTCTGATATATTGTTGAGGATATTTTTATCTATGTTGCTGATGAATATTGAACTGCCATTCTTTTGTTCTCTTATCCTTATTTTCTTTCAATACAAATACAGCCTTACAAAATTTATTGACAACTATAGGATGCTCTTTAATTTTCTGGAAGAGATGTTTGACAATTGGTATAGTTATTTTCTTAATTATTTGGAAAATTCACCGTAAAGGCTTCTCTGCCTAAAGTTTTATTTGTTGAAAGCATTATTAAATAGATAGTACTAATGAGTTTATCAGTTTTTTAATCAAACTTTGGTAGTTTAGTATTTCAAGAAATTTGTTCATTTAAATTACTGAATTTATTAATATAATATTCATAATATTCCCATAAGACATAGAGATGTCCTTCTGATATTATAAATTGATCTCTATTTTTTCCTAATCACTCTGCTAAGTGTCCTTATTTTTACCATTAATAAGCATTTAGTTTTCCTGAATTTTTTTGTATTTCTCTTTACAGTTCATTGATTTCTGGTTTTATCTTTATTACATCTTTTTTCTATTTGATTTGAGTTCAAGTTGCTCCTCTTTTTCTCCTTTCTTAAAATGGAGACTTAGAGCATTGATTTGAGACTTTACTTTTTTCAGATACAAGCAATTATATTTTCTCTCTAGCACTTCTTTAGCTATGCTGTCAAATTTTGATATATTTTGTTTTCCATTCAATTCAAAATATTACCAATTTATTTTGTTCTTTATATTTGCCCCATCAATTATTTGAACATTTGTTATAACATTTTTATAAGAGGATTATATATTTATAACATAAATATGTATATATAAATATAACATAAATATAAGAGGATTTTGTGATATTATTCTCTTACATATTTTTGATTATTTTTATTATTGTTAAAGAACTTACCTCATATGGTTTGACTTCTTTTAAATTAGTTGAAATTTACTTTGTAGTCCTACATACACATTTATCTTTGTAATACCTCATATTTTCTTGAAAAAGAAAAAAATGTATTTTGTTGTTCTTGGGTAGTGTGTCCTATAACTGTCAATTAGATCAGGTTGTTCGATACTATGTTTTAAGTCTATTTTTCCTACAGTTTTAAAATAATTACTGTAAAATAAGTCTGTAAGTCACAAATAACAACTTATCTTTTTTTCTTACAATGCTACTTGGAGCCAAAATAATGTATCATTTTGATTATTCCATAAGCCTCATAGCTGTTCTCTCCTTACCATGCTCAACTATAGTATAGTTTGAATACAACGGCCAAAGTTATTTATTTATTCATTTATTTATTTATTTATTTATTTACTAAGAGTCTTGCTCTGTTGCCCAGGCTGGAGTGCAGTGGCACGATCTTGGCTCACTGCAACCTCTGCTTCCCGGGTTCAAGAGATTCTCCTGCCTCAGCCTCCTGAGTAGCTGGGACTACAGGCACCCGCCACCATGCCCGGTTATTTTTTGTGTTTTTAGTAGACACGGGGTTTCACTGTGTTGGCCAGGCTGGTCTCGAACTCCTGACCTCAAATGATCTGCCCTTCTTGGCCTCCCAAAGTGTTGGGATTACAGGAGTGAGCCACCGTGCCCGACCAAAGTAATTTTTTAAAACTCAGATTAAATCATGTCATCCCTCTGCTCAAAAACTGTCAGGGGTTGTACCTCTTGAGCAAAGTAAAATTCAACATCATTAGTGGCTTATAAAGCCCTTTATGATCCAGTATCTCATTAACGTTCTGGCTGGTTTCAGAATTATTCTTTCCCTTGTCTCACTGGCCCCTTGCTGCTCCTGGAACGTGCTAGGCACATGCCCACCTGAGGCCCTTTTTACTGGCTATCTCCCTTGCCTGGAATGCTCTTTGTGTAGGTTAATTCCCTGATACCCTTTCAATCTGTTTTAAAGATTCCCTTTCCAATGAGACCCACTCTGACCACTTCATCTTACATTGCAATCCGTCTACTTTCCTCTGACCCTCACAATTCTCCATCACCCTATGTTATATTTCCTTTCCCATAGTATTTATTTCCTCTAACACATGGGCAGGAATCCATTACTGGTTTGTTCACCTTTATATTATAAACCCCTATAGCACTGTCTAACACAAAGTAAATATTCTCTAAATAGGTGTTGAATGAATAAATATATTAATCAATAAAAAGTGAAGGGGCAGGAAATCTGAAACAAAAACATATAAACAAAAATAGAAATCAAGTGAGAATATCAGCAGGAGTAGTAAGTAAAATACTAAGATATTTGTATTAAATAGAGAAAAATAAAACCACTAATTGGGAAAAAGCACATATAGTGCAAAGAACCAATTACTCTGAATCAGGCAACAGGCATTTAGATATAGTTCTACACTGTCTTATGTTATGACCTTTAGAATTTCCTGCACTCACCCAGGGTCTCACATAATCACATCTTTAAGATAACCTCTAAGTTTATATTAATTTAGGGCTACTACATGGCCTCTTCCTAGGGATTTATATTATCCTTATTGGCAAACAGAGTTTTTGTTCATATCATATTCGTTCTACATAATTTTTCTCCTAGAAAATTCACCTGAGGATAAAAGATTTGAAACACAGATGCTGCAATTTTCTAGTGCAATTCTACTTTCTTTCCTCTGCATATCTTTAAAATATTTGTTCACCTTTGAGAAAAATTAATCAATAATGGGTGTAAACAATTTGAATGCTTACTATGCAATGAAGAATGAGTCATATCAAGTTTAAAAATGCTTCAGATAGAGACATTTTGTTTTATACAAAATAATCCCTTTCTTGACCAAAGTCTAATTGTCTGTTTTTATTTTTTTAACATGGCATGTTTGAGTCACAGTTTAGAAGAAACATCTCAAATGGCTCAGCCATTCTCAACTTAAGGAAACAATCCAACATTTATGACTATCTTCTGTGCATTCTAAAAATTAAACAAAAGTTTGACAAAATAAATGGTAAAATTAGAGATTAAAACATTGTGTTCGTGTGCTTTGTTCTGTTTAAAATATTATCAGATAATTCATGTATTGTTTTATTTCAACATGCCTATATAGCTTATTCTGAGAAATAGTACCAGAAATAGTTAATGTTCAAGTAGCATACAGTATGTTAAAAGATTAAAGGCTAATGATATCTGACTGAGCAGGATATCTAGTTATGAATTTGATATTAAAAAGCTGTACTATAATTTCCATATTGCATAATGTATGATTGGTTTCAGGAATAAAATATATTATCCCATAAATAGACAATTTTCAGAGGTCTTACTTGTAAGTATCCAATAAGATAAAAAAGGAATATGATTGCATATCTAAATATATAGTACAAAATTTCAAAGAATATTAGTTTCAGTTGATTATTGTTTTCTCTTTAAAACTGTCTTCATACCTATGAATAAAAACAACTGTTTAGACATGGAATAATTAAGAAGTGAATAACAATATCTATTTAACTTTTCCAGATATTATCATTTTGACAAATACACAGAAGCTATGTTATTCTATCTAATTAACAAGACAAAACAAAAAACAAAATAATTGAATAAGCATCAAAGAGAAACTTCTTACTATCACAAAAGAACAAACTTCTGAGCTTTCTCTTCAAAGATATTTTTAAAATTCAAAGCAAATTCCAAGCCAGACGATTATATGTCGGAAAAATCTCGGTTGTCAGTAATGCTTTAAAAATTTGGCTAATATGGTTAATAAAAGTCCATGAATAACTAAGAATTAAATCCCCAATCATTTCAGGTCAATTCTCATTATTTTAAAATATTTCTAAAATACATTAGTCTTTTTATTCACCTTAGCAAGTTCATGAGTCTGAAGATAATTGAATCTGTGATAATTCAGAATCTGCAATGCCTCAGGCTCATCGTTCTTAGCATCAATCCTCATTGCATAGTGATGGAATTGAAATTATAGAGTGTATGGGATATTGGTGTTAGTCCCTACTGAACTAAAGATAAGCCCTAGAATGTTTTGACTTTTGAATATATAGCTAAACCCCAATTATTAATGTATTATTTACCTCCATATCCCATGTGTGCAAAAGGAGTAAAAACCAATTGGGTTATTTGAAGTTACTGGTAAATCATGTTTGAATTTTTTCTCAATAAATTTTTCCTTTTCCCTTTTCTTCTGGCATTGTATGTATCCAAAAGAATGTTTTTTATGAATTAAGAAATACAATGTTACATGTGCAAAAGAGTCACTGATTGTGTCTTTATTGATTGAGCAGTCAAAAGGTTAATCTGTTATCAGTTATTTCCCAAAGCTAAATTTACTACCAATTTGTATATCAGTCACTGATAACACATATTTATTTTCTAATTGTCTATATTGTGTTTTTAGTTAACTGTTTCAAAAATGTATTCTTAGCAATTACAAGTTCAACATCATTTTCTAAACAAAATTACAAAAAGAAAACTTTCTGATGTCCATTAAATATTAATGGGGGATTCTGCTTCTGCATGAATCAGGGGAGAAGATAGTGTAGGCAAACTTTCCCTGATATCTCTCACTGAATGCAACTATATAACCTGAGCACAATGCATAGAACAGCTTTCTTTTCTTTTCTTTTCTTTTTTTTTTTTTTTTTTTTTGAGACGGAGTCTCCGTCTGTCGCCCAGGCTGGAGTGTAGTGGCGCGATCTCGGCTCACTGCAAGCTCCGCCTCCCGAGTTCATGCCATTCTCCCGCCTCAGCCTCCCAAGTAGCTGGGACTACAGGCGCCCGCCACCGCGCCTGGCTAATTTTTTGTATTTTTAAATAGAGACGGGGTTTCACCGTGTTAGCCAGGATGGTCTCGATCTCCTGACCTTGTGATCCGCCCACCTTGAGGCCTCCCAAAGTGCTGGGATTGCAGGCGTGAGCCACTGGAACAGCTTTCTAAGAACTCTGAAAATTAAATGGTAGCAGATGGATTGGGGAAGAGACTAGAATTCGAAGTTCTACCAAACTGGCCAACATGGTGAAACCCTGTCTCTACCAAAAATACAGAAATTAGCCAGGTGTGGTGGCGCCTGCCTGTAGTCCCAGCTACTCGGGAGGATGAGGCAGGAGAATTGCTTGAACCCAGTGGGTGGAGGATTCAGTGAGCTGAGATGGTGCCACTGCACTCCAGCTTGGGCAACAGAGTGAGACTCTGTCTCAAAAAAACAAACAAACAAAAAAAAAAACGAAGTTCTACCAAACTTTGGGCTTACCAGTTTTTACTTTACTATTGCCTGCCCAGATATAGAGGCAAATTCCAACGTGCTCTGTGTACAAGATATGAACAGAAATAAGTCCACAAGGATCCCTCTCCTTCTGGACCAAGAAGAATAAAAGAGGAGCAGTGTGGGGAATATGGTTTGAATTTGTGTTTCTGCCAAATCTCATGTTGAATTGGAGGAGACTCCTGGTGGAAGGTGATTGGATCATGGGGGGAGGATTTCTCCGTTGCTGTTCTTGTGATAGTGAGTGAGTTCTCACGAGATCTGATGGTTTAAAAGTGTGTGACACTTCCTGCTTCACTCTGTCTCTCCCTGCAGCTCCATCATGGTAAGACGTGCTTGCTCCCTGTATTAGTCTATTCTCACACTGCTAAGAAAAGGTATCCCAGACTGGGTAATTTATAAAGAAAAAAGGTTTAATTGACTCACAGTTCCGCATGGCTGAGGAGGCCTCAAGAACCTTACAATCATGGTGGAAGGCAGCTTTTCACAGAGTGGCAGGAGAGAGAATGAGTGCTGAGCAAAGGGGGAAAAGCCCCTTATAATAGCAACTCACTCACTATAATGAGAACAGCATGGAGTAACCACCCCATGATTCAGTTACCTCCCACCAGGTCCCTCCCACATGCCACGGGGACTATGGGAACTATAATTCAAGATGAGTTTTGGGTGGGAACAAAGCCAAACCATATCATTCTGCCCCTGGCGCCTCCCAAAATCTCAGGGCCCCGCATATCAAAACACAATCATGCCTTAAAACAGTCCTCCAAAAACTTAGCTGATTCCAGCATTAACCCAAAAGTCCAAGTTCAAAGTCTCATCTGAGACAAGGCAAGTCTCTTCCTCCTAGGAGTCTGTAAAATCAAAAGCAATTTAGTTACTTCCTAGATACACTGAGGGTACAGACATTGGGTAAATATACTCATTCCAAATGGGAGAAATGGGTCAAAAAAAGGGGCTATAGACCCTAGCAAGTCCAAAATTCAATAGGGCAGTCATTAAATCTTAAAGTTCCAAAATTACCTCCTTTAAATCCAAGTGTCACATCCAGGTCACACTAATAGAAGAGGTGGGCTCCCATAGCCTTGGGCAGCTCCACCCCTGTGACTTCGCAGTGTACAATCCCCTTCACAGATGCTTGCATGGACTGGCATTGAGTGTCTGTGACTTTTCTAGGCACGTGGTGCAAGCTGTCATGGATCTACCGTTCTGGGGTATGGAGGACAGTGGCCCTCTTCTCACAGCTCCACTAGGCAGTGCTCCAGTGGAGACTCTGTGGGGGATGTGACTCCAAGTTTCCCTTCCTTCCATGCTGCCCTAGCAGAGGTTCATAATAAGGGCCCTGTCCCTGCAGCACACTTCTGCTGGGACATGGAGGCATTTCCAAACATTGTCTGAAATCTAGCTGCTTCCCCATGAATCAGGGGAGAAGACAGTGTATTCCCAAACCTCAATTCTTGACTTCTGTGCACACGCAGGCACAACACCATGTGTAAGCTTCCAAGGCTTGGGGCTTGAACCCTCTGAAACAATGGCCTGAGCTCTGTATTAGTCCTTTTTAGCCACAACTGAGATGAAGGCACCAAGTCTTGAGACTGCACAAAGCAGCAAGGCCCTGGGCCTGGCCCACATACTATTTTTTCCTCTCAGGCCTCTGGACCTGTGATGGAAGAGGCTACTGTGAAGATCTCTGACATGTCCTGCAGACATTTTCCTCATTGTCTTGGCTATTAACAATTGGCTCCTCATTACTTATGCAAATTTTAGCTGCCAGCTTGAATTTCTCCTCAAAAATTGGGTTTTTCTATTCTATCACATAGTCAGGCTGCACATTTTCCAAACTTTTATGCTCTGCTTTCCTTTTAATCATAAATTTCAATACCAAACCATATCTTTGTAAATAAATGAATAAATCCGTAAATATATATATGAATGTGTGTATATGTAATGTATTCTATATAAGAAGTATTAAATATGCAGATACATCTCCTTTTATTGAGTGCCACTTTTCTGCACTTCAGATATTGTGTTTTTTATAAATTGGAGGTTTGTGCTAACCCTGCATCTAGCAAGTCTATAATTGCCATTTTTCAAACAGCATGTGCTCACTTCAGGTCTCTGTGTCACATGTTGGTAACTTTCAAAATATTTCAACTTTTTCATTATTATTATATCTGTTACGGTGATATGCAATCAGTGATCTTTGATATTACTATTATAATTGTTCTGGGGCACCATGAATTATGCCCATTTTAGATGGTATACTTAATTGATAAACATTGTATGTCCTGACTGCTCCACTGCCTCTCTATTCCATCATGTTTCTTCCTCTCCTCAGGCCTCCCTGAGACACAACAATATTGAAATTAACCCAATTAGTAACCCTATCGTGACGTCTAAGTTTTCAAGTAAAAGGAAGAGTCATACATCTCTTACCCTAAATTAAAAGCTAGACATGTTTAAAATTAGTGAGGAACTCATGTTGAAAGCTGAGATAGGTCAAATGCTAGGCCTCTTGTGCCAAACAATTAGCTAAACTGTGAATTCAAAGGAAAAGTTCTTGAAGAAAATTAAAAGCTCTACTTTAGAGAATACACAAATGATGTTAAAAAATAAAGTGAAACATTCTTATTGTTGATAGGGAGAAAGTTTGGGTGTTCTGGATAGAAGATCAAACCTGCCACAGCATTCCCTTAAGCCAAAGCAAAATCCAGAGCAAGGCCCTATCTCTCCTCAATTCTGTGAAGGTTGAGAGAGGTGAGGAATCTACAGAATAAAAGTTTGAAGCTAGCAAAGATTGGTTCACACGGTTTAAGTGAAGAACCCATTCCCATAGCACAAAGTGCAAGGTGAAGCAGCAAGTGCTGATGGAGAAACTGCAGCAAGTTATTCAGAAGACCTATCTAAAATAATTCATGAAGATGGCTACACTAAACAACACATTCTTCATGTAGATTAAAGGCCCTGCGTTAGTGGAATCTGCCTTGTGGACTTTAATAGTTGAAAAGAAGTTGCCTGTTTTTGAAGCTTCGAAGGTCAGGCTGAATCTTTTGTTGGGGGCTAATACAACTGATGACTTGAAATTGAAGCCAATGTTCATTTTCCATTTTGAAAATCATGGGAATTTAATTGTTTCAATATTTTGATAAAACTTGAATAGATGAGTAGTTGCTCCTTATGGATGAATAGTGAAAGTGGTTTCTTTAGATGGAATCTACTCCTGGTGAAGATGCCATGAACATCGTAGAAATGCCAACAAACAATTTAGAATATTACATAAACTTAGTTGATAAAACAGCAGCAGAATTTGAGAGGATTTACTACAATTTTGAAAAAAATTCTAATGTGGGCAAAATGTTGTCAAACAGCACCACATGTTACAGAGAAATATTTGCTTAAAAAATGAGTCAATCAACATGGCAAAGTTCATTTTTGTTTTCTTTTAAGACATTGCCAGAGACACCCCAAACTTCAGCAACCACCACTCTGATTAGTCAGCAATCATCAACATCAAGGCAAGACCCTCCACCACAAAAAGGTTATGATTTGATAAAGGCCAAAATTGTCATTAGCATTTTTAAGCAATAAAGTGTTTGTTAATTAAAATATATACATTTTAAAGACACAATACTATTGTACACTTAATAGAATACCATATAGTATAAACAGAAGATTTATATGCATTAAGAAATCAAACAATTTATGTGACTCACTTTATTGTGACATTTGCTTTATGGTGGTGATCTGGAACAAAACCTGTAATATTTTCCAGGTATGCCTGTATAATGTTATATATATCTATACACACACACATATACATATGTACATATACAGAATGGGAGCTTGAGCTTTTTGTGTGTCATGTCCTCCCTTCTTTTTCAATCTTCTTCTTATCTTTGCAATCAGAGAAATTGTATCCTCCTTGATCATTTTCTGTCAGATTTTAAAAGACTTATTTACAGGATCTTTTATCTGCATCTTCTTTTTCCTCCTCTCCTTCTTCTTCTATCCATTGACCTGCCTTTTGTCAAATTATTTTTGTACAATTAATAAAAGAATTCACTTTTTAACCTTCAACTGCTACCTTTCTGCTTCTGAATTTAATCCTCTGGTCTCAATCAATCATTCTTTTTCTTAACTGAAACTTTCATGTAAATGTCAGACAACTTCATCAATGTGTTCCATTGAGTTAGTTGCTTACACATCCATTCCTTGAGCTGTCTATGCAAATCATGCTTTTCAGGCTCTCTTGTAATCTGAATTTGAGGTGGTTTTGACCAATGAGAGGTTCTGCTAAGATATTAGACTTGGACATAGAAGCCATAGTACCTCCCTCTTCCTGCTTCGGGGGTATCTCTAGAAGTAGCTATCTCTTCTCCATAGTTCCAACAACCTTCAGGAAGGCCTATCCTTCATGGTGCCAGCTGCAGCCAGTGGTCCTGCTCTTGGCTTCTTGCAACTCCATTTCTCCGTTATATTTATAGCCTTAAAGATGGGAGTGGTTTCCTGCTATTACTAAATTCTGGACTGCTTCAATGTCTCCTTCTGACTTTCTAGTTCTTCCTATACCTTAGGAACTCATTGTAATATTCATGTTACCTACTTTCTCCATTGTTATAGATGATATAATTATCCTGTTCTCAGCTTCAAACACAATGATGTCAGTTTCTAAAATCATGCCATCATGTCATTTCTTCCACTGTGAAACGAGCAGGTAAATATAATAAAGTGATGGTTCAGGCAATCAAATAATTTATAATCTACTTTACATAAATCTCGTTTAATATTTTTAAACACTTTGAGATATGCTTATTAAAATCTCATCTTTCTGATATCTAAATAAGCTTGAAGGCCGGGCGCGGTGGCTCACGCCTGTAATCTCAGCACTTTGGGAGGCGGAGGCAGGCGGATCACGAGGTCAGGAGATAGAGACAATCCTGGATAACACGGTGAAACCCCTTCTCTACTAAAAATACAAAAAATTAGCCGTGCGTGGTGGCAGGTGCCTGTAGTCCCAGCTACTCTGGAGGCTGAGGCAGAAGAATGGCGTGAACCCGGGAGGCGGAGCTTGCAGTGAGCCAAGATCGTGCCACTGCACTCCAGCCTGGGCAACAGAGAGAGACTCCCTCTAAAATTAAAAAAAAAAATTAAAAAAAAGTAAGCTTGAAGATGCTAAATAACCATCTGAGATCAGACAGCAGGTAGGTGGAGAAGCCAGTGTTTAAAATGATGTTGTTTTGGCTCATAATATTTTATTTATAACATAAATTAATAAAACCAATTGATTAATAACATTTGCCATAAACCATAATTCTTTTTGTAAACACACCCTGACATATAGAGATAACAATAGCATAATAATGGCTCCTTATTTAATCAGCTAGTTAGAAATCTTTCAGGCTCTTACTCTATGGACAAATTTGCATAAATATTAGCAAATATGTCCGTTTCTTTATTATTCTCTTTTCCACCGGCGAAGCAATAAAAATAAGTCAATTCCAAAAGAAGATTCATAAATGTGTCCTTAAATGTTTCAGAAGAAAAATACATTTTATCTATTTTATCAAAATACATTCAGAAAATTACTACTCCCACTAAATGCCAATAGGTTTTCTTGACAAAAATTATCCACATTTATATAAAATTATATAACTATTGCAAAATTGAATGTTTGAAATTCAGAATATTTATTAATGTGTGAAAAGTTTAAGTATTTACTTTTATTCAACACTGAATTGCATTATTATCTCTGGAGTTTGATACACACACATACATAGAAAGGTGCATAGAACATTGAACTTGATATTTGAAAAATATATTAGTCCACTATATGCATAATAGAACTTAGTCCTCATTTAAAGCACTTTGATGAAATTTCCACAGTCATACACTTTGGTTTTAACAGAATCGGAATGAAAACCCAAGTATAAGCATATTCAGTTTATGCCAAGGCAAGTCAGCTATGGGTAGGACAAGGAGCATGATATTTTGTTGCATTAAATGTAATTTGCATTCAAAACTTACTAAATGAATCAAAGTTTTCTTATCTCTAAAATGAGAATAAAAATAACAATATATGCCCTAATTACTTCACAGTGTCAGTATTATTGTGAAGGTCAAATAAATACATTTATTTAAAAGGATTTTAAAAGCAGCATGTATCATCATTTTAATTAGGTTAGGAAGACAATATCGTAAGTATCAAAGCATTGTATATCAATGATTTATATTTAATATGATATACCCAGATTTTCCTAACTGAGATTTGGGCAAACTAATTTTAATTATAAAGGTTTAAGGTTTTTGTTTGTTTGTTTTTGAGCCTCATTAATATTTGAATTAACTGAATATTTGTATAAATTCTTTGCAATTTGGAAACAAGATGAAACATAAAGTGTTTGTATTATATTTAAATGCATGTGGAATTTAAAGATTATTTTATTATATTTTAAAAATAGAGAAAAATGCACAACCCTCTGATCATACCTATTTGACAATTCTCACTTGGCATTTTTTCAAGACATTATTATTTTTGGTTACTTTAATGACCAATTTGAGTTGAACACATGATAAATTCTGTCAATTGTGTCAAACTCAGTTGTCAAAAGAATCAGAAAGGGCATTTTAACTGTAAAGTGGTTGATTCTAGAGTTGCCTATAGATGTGGCCTCGGAATATTAACTCTCTCATCCACCAGAACTATTTTAGATATACCGATGGGAGCATGTCATTTCATGAATCGTTCAACTCTCAGTTACCCTTGGAAATAGAAAATAGCAAAGTCTAGATGAATACAATTCTCAAATATCCCCTGCTCTTACTTCGATCATTAATGCTCACATCCTTAACTAACTTTTGCCAAAGGTTCCATGAAGTAAGCAAATGGCAGTTCAAATTTACTTCAAATCTGTTTTCTTTTATATTAGTCATGAGATGGAGGTGATAATGAGCAGAGATAAATAATGAAAATGTAAGAAGCCAAATGGAAAAGAAGATTAGGGAAATAATTGACTCTATTGTGGAAAAAGAATGTTTCCTTTCACATCAATTTTGAACTATTTTATTTTACTTAAATATAATTTCAAATAGTTTCATAAGCACCATGTATGTTTTAGCCAAGGAAAGAATAATTTACAAAATGCTGAAGGCAACACTATATAGTGAAAATATAACTACACATTAAGCTAAATCAAAACACCTTAGTCAATTTATTTAATAGCATAAGGATACATTTCTTAATCTGTTGAAGAAATGTACCAATCTAGCTTTCTGATTTTGCTCTAATGACAATTCTATCATTTTAACCTATGTAGAATTCTAGGAGATTCAGGATATTGAAAATATGGTTCCTAAACTCAAGAAAATTGCTAACTAGTTGCAATAGATGTATTCACAAGGAAGATAGTGAAAAATGTTCTCTGAGAAAGAAATATGAGCAAACAGAAAATGTGTAAATATACATATTTACACCAGGGTAAGACTGGAAAAGCTTAGTAGAAGTTAATATTTTATTAATATCCGTGTTTGGAAGTATAGGTTTGTTTTTTACAGGTGGTAATGCAAGGCAAAGAGTATTCAAAACAAGGATAAACAATGATAGGCAGTTATGAATAAATAGATGATAAATAGCAGCGAAATGACACTATTAGATTTTTTGTTTGTTTGTTTGTTTTTTTGCATTTTTAGCAGAGATGGGGTTTCATCATGTTAGCCAGGATGGTCTGGATCTCCTGACCTCATGATCCGCCCACCTCGGCCTCCCAAAGTGCTGGGATTACAGGCGTGAGCCACTGCGCCCAGCCGACACTATTAGATTTTTAATCTCAAAACACAGAAGCTAATCTAGATCATTAATTTTTAAGTATGTTTTATGTTCCATATTGTGAGTATTTAAGGTCCTCCTGATCATTGGATTAGGGCCTACATTATCTGAAGTTGATTACATTTGCAAAAATTGTATTTCAAAATTATGTCATATTCAGATTCTGGGTGGTCAGGATCCTTAAACTGCTCTACTTTACTTATTTATGCATATGACATACACATTGTGTATACACTATTTTCAATGTTATTTCCAATAAATGCAAATGATTTTATTTTTGGAGATTCTACTTAGGCTGAAGTTCAGTGAAACTGGGCACCTGTGTCTTTTCCTATTCTACAAGGACACAGAAAGCACATTATTGTGCTACCTTATTTTATGAACTATTTTTAATCTTTAAATCTTGAGTTTCTGATTTACTCTTAAGGTCTGAAGGAGGCTATGACTTGCTAAATAAGCTACAAAAGATCTATTATTTTTAAATAGTTATGATAAAGGGAGTGGGAAGATAAATTGATAACTTACACTATATTTCTGATTCATTTGATATGGCAATTAAATGAAAGTCTGAATTTATTTATTATTCTACATAGTTACAACCAATCTTCAAAGATGTGAAACTATTAATGTGTTATATTAAGTGGAATCTTGTGTTATTTATATGCTAAAATATTACACATTTAATCTACTAGCAACTTTGGTTTCTGAATTTCTGGAAAGAGAGCTGGACTTCTGCTAAAAGTATTCCAGCCCTCACTCTGACAAATTTTGGACTTCCTTCACCTTGGGAAATACATCTTCCTCAGTATGTTTCTCTAGAGACCAAATGACTATTAAATTAGGGGTTGTCAAAGTATGGCCCATTGCTTATTTTTGTAAATAAAGTTTTATTGTAACACAGCCTTGTCCATTTATTTGTATATCATCTGTGACTGCTTTTGTGCTACAATGGTTAAATAGCTCTGGTAGGTCCATCTGGATTGCCAAAATTAAGATATTTACTACTTGATCCTTTACAAAAACTGAAACCCTCTAATCAAGATTATTTCTATTACTGCTCTAAATTTTAAAATTATGTAATTTTGTGGTCCTTTTTCTTTAGCTCCTACTGAAAAAATCTGATTAGGTACTTTCTACATGTTAGACTCACAAATGAATAGTTGGTATATTGAAAGGTATAATGATCCAGAGTCCATAAAATTTTGCCAGTGCCTATGTTGTGAATAGTATTGCCTAGATTTTCTTCTAGGGTTTATATAGTTTTGGGTTTTACATTTAAGTCTTTAATTCATCTTGAGTTAATTTTTGTATATGGTGTAAGGAAGGGGTCCAGTTTCAATTTACTATTTATAGATAGCCAGTTCTCCCAGCACCATTTATTAAATAGGGAATCCTTTCCCCATTGCCTATTTTTGTCAGGTTTCTCAAAGATTAGATGGTTTTAGATGTGCAGACTTATTTTTGGGCTCTATATTTGGTTTCATTGGTCATTTTGTCAGTTCTTGTACCAGTACCAAGCTGCTGTGGTTACTGTAGCCTTGTAGCATAGTTTGAAGTTGGTTAGCGTGATGCCTCCAGCTTTGTTCTTTTTGCTTAGAAATGCCTTGACTACTTGGGCTCTTGTATTTTTTTTTGGTTCCATATGAATTTTAAATATTTTTTCTAATTCTGTGAAGAATGTCAATGGTAGTTTAATGGAAATAGCATTGAATCTATAAATTGCTTTGGGCACTATGGATATTTTCATGATATTCATTCTTTCTATTCATGAGCATGGGCATGAGATGCTTTTCCATTTGTTTGTGTTATCTTTGATTTCTTTGAACAGTGGTTTGTAGTCTTCCTTGAAGAGGTCCTTCACTTCTCTTGTTAGCTGTATTCCTAGGTATTTTATTCTTTATGTGGCAATTGTAAATGGGAGTTCATTTGTGATTTGGCTCTCAGTTTGACTGCTGTTGGTGTATAGTAATGCTAGTAATATTTGCACATTGATTTTGTATCCTGAGAGTTTGCTAAAGTTGCTTATCAGCTTAAGAAGTTTTGGGGCTGAGAGAAAAGGGTTTTTGAGATATAAAATCATGTCATTTGCAAATAGAGATATTTTCACATCCTCTCTTTCTATTTGAATATACTTTATTTATTTACCTAATTCCCCTGGCCCGAACTTCGAACAATATGCTGAACAGGAGTGGTGAGAGATGGCATTTTTGTCATGCTCCAGTTTTCAAGGAGAATACTTCCAGCTTTTGCCCATTGTGTAATATATTAGCTGTGAGTTTGTCATATATGACTGTTATTATTTCGAGATATGTTCCTTAAATACCTGTTTTATTGAGAGTTTTTAACATAAAGGAATGCAATTTCCGCATCTATTGAGAGAATCATGTGGTTTTTTTTTTTTTTTTTTTGAGACGGAGTCTCGCTCTGTCGCCCAGGTCGGACTGCGGACTGCAGTGGCGCAATCTCGGCTCACTGCAAGCTCCGCTTCCCGGGTTCACGCCATTCTCCTGCCTCAGCCTCCCGAGTAGCTGGGACTACAGGCGCCCGCCACCGCGCCCGGCTAATTTTTTGTATTTTTAGTAGAGACGGGGTTTCACCTTGTTAGCCAGGATGGTCTCGATCTCCTGACCTCATGATCCACCCGCCTCGGCCTCCCAAAGTGCTGGGATTACAGGCGTGAGCCACTGCGCCCGGCCGAGAATCATGTGGTTTTTGTCTTTAGTTCTGTTTGTGTGATGAATCACATTTATTGATTTGCATATGTTGAACCATATTTGTATCCTGAGGATGAGACCTACTTGATCATGGTGGATAAGCTTTTTGATGTGCTGGTGGATTTGGTTTGTCATATTTTATTGAGGATTTTGAATTGATGTTCACCAAGGCGAATTCAAATGATATTCATTTGAAGTTTTCTTTTCTTGTTTTATCTCTGCCAGGTTTTGGTATCAGGATGATGTTGGTCTCATAGAATGAGTTAGGTAGGAATCCCTCCTTTTCAGTTTTTCAGAATAGATTCAGTAGAAATGGTACCATCTCTTCTTTGTACCTGTGGTAGAATTCAGCTGTGAGTCTGTCTGTTCCTGGGCTTTTTTTTGATTGGCAAGCTATTTATTACCGCCTCAATTTTACAACTCATTATTGGCCTATTCAGCTACTTTTTCTCTTTCTGGTTCAGTCTTGGTAGGGTTTATGTTTCCAGAAATATATGCATTTTTTCTAGATTTTCTTGTTTATGTGCATAAAATTATTTACTGTATTCTCTGATGGTTGCTTATATTTTTGTGGGGTCAGTGGTGATTATCCCCATTATCATTTCTGATTATGTTTATTTGAATCTTCTCTCTTTTCTTCTTTGTCCAGCTACTGGTCTATTTTATTAATGTTTTTCAAAAAAAATATCTCCTGGATTTCTTGATTTTTTGAAGGGTTTTTCGTGTCTCTATCTCCTTCAGTTCACCTCTGATCTTGATTATTTCTTGTCCTCTGCTTGCTTTGAGGTTTGCTTGCTCTTGGTTCTCTAGTTCTTTTAGTTGTGATGTTAGGTTGTTAACTTGAGATATTTCTAGTTTTTCGATGTGGGCATTTCCTGCTATAAATTTCACTCCTAACACTGCTTTAGCTGTTTCCCAGAGATTCTGGTATGTTGCATCATTGTTCTCATTAGTTTCAAAAACTTCTTGATTTCTGCCTTAATTTAATTATTTAATCAAGATTAATTCAGGTGCAAGTTATTCAATTTTCATGTAGTTGTGTGGTTTTGAGTAAATTTCTTAATCTTTTAGTTTGACTACACTGTGGTCTGAGAGACTGTTATGATTTCAGTTCTTTCGTATTTGCTGAGGAGTGTTTAACTTCCAATTATGTGGTCAGTTTTGGAGTAAGCGCCATGTGGCAATGAGAAGAGTGATATTCTGTTGTTTTTGGATGGAGAGATCTGTAGATACATTCAAGTCTGCCTGATTCAGAACATAGTTCACATCCTATATATCTTTGCTAATTTTCTGTCTCAATAATTTGTCTAATATTATCAGTGCAGTGTTAAAGTTCCCCACTATTATTGTGCGGGACTCTAAGTCTCTTTGAATGTCTGTAAGAACTTGCTTTATGAATCTGAGTGCTCCTGTATTGGGTGAATATATATTTAGGATAGTTAGGTCTTCTTGTTGAATTGAACGCTTTACCATTATATAATGCTCTTCTTTGTCTTTTTTGATCTTTGTTAGTTTAAAGTCTGTTATGTCAGAAACTAGGATTGCAACTCCTGCTTTTCTTCTGTTTTCCATTTGGCTTCATAAATTTTCCTCCATCCCTTTATTTTGAGCTGATGTGTGTCTTTGCATGTGAGATGGGTCTCTTGAAGACAACATACTGATGATAGTTGGTTCTTTATATAGCTTGCCGTTCTGTGTCTTTTAATTGGGGCATTCAGCCTGTTTACATTTAAAGTTAATATTATTGTGTGGATTTGATTCTGTCATCATGATGCTAGTTGGTTATTTTGCAGACTTGTTTATGTGGTTGCTTCGTAGTGACACTGGTCTGTGTATTTCACTGTGTTTTTGTAACGGCTGGTAACATTTTTTCTTTTCCATATTTAGTGCTTCCTTCTGGAGCTCGTGCAAGGCATGTCTGGTGGTGACAAATTTCCTCAGCATCTTTTCTTGTCTGAAAAAATATCTTATTTCGTCTTTGCTCATATAGCTTAGTTTTGATGGATATGAAATTCTGGGTTGGAAATTCTTTTCAAGAATGTTGAATGTTGGCTGCCATTCTCTTCTGACTTGTAAGGTTTCCTCTGAGAGGTCGATATTATTCTGATGGGCTTCCCTTTGTAGATGACCTGGACTTTCTCTCTGGCTGCTCTGAACATGATTTCTTCCATTTCAACCTTGGAGAATCTGATGATAAGGTTCTGGGGGATGACCTCCTCATGGAGTATTTTACAGGGTTCTCTGCATTTCCTGAATTTTAGTGTTGGTTTGTCTTGCTAAGTTAGGGAATTTCTCCTGGATAATATCCTGAAGTATGATTTCCAACTTGGTTCCATTCTCCCGGTATCTTTCAGGTACCCCTGTCCATCATAGGTATAGTCTCTACATAATCCCATATTTTTTGGAGGTTTTCTTCATTTCTTTTTATTCTCTGTTTCTCTGTTATTGTTTGCCTGTCTTATTTCAGAAGGATAGTCTTGAAGCTCTGAGATCCTTTGCTCTGCTTGGTCTATTCTGCTATTAATATTTGTCATTGCATTGTGGAGTTCTTGTAGTGTGTTTTTCAGCTCTAACAAGTTAGTTGTGTTCCTCTCTAAACTGGCTATTCTGGCTATCAGCTCTTGTATTGTTTTATCATGATTCTTAGCTTCTTTTTGTTGGGTTACAACATGCTCCTTTAGCTCAGTAGAGGTGTTGCAGTCATTTGGAAGAGAAGGGGCACTCTGGCTTTTTGAGTTTTCAGTGTTTTTGTGTTGACTCTCTTCCTTGTGAGTTTATCTGCCTTCATTGTGGCTGCTGAACTTTGATGGGGTTTTTGTGGAGTCTTATTTGTTGATGTTGTTCTTATTGTTTTCTAACCATCAGGCCACTCTTCCATATGGCGGCTGTGGTTTGTTTGGGGTCCACTCCAAACCCTAGTTGCCTCGGTTTATCCTGTACCTGGAAGTATCACTAATGAAGGCTGCAAAACAGCAAAGATGGCAACCTACTCCTCCCTCTGGAAACTTCATTCTAGGGGGCTACTGACCTGTTGCCTGTGCAAACACTCTTGGAGAAAGTGGCGAGAGACGCCTATTGGGAAGTCTCACCCAGTTAGGAGGAATGGGATCAGGGACTCACTTAAAGGATCAGTCTAGTTGCCTTTTGGTAGACCAGGTGTGCTGTGTTGAGGATCCCTTCAGTCCCTTCTTGGTATGGGTTCTCCAGGCTCCAGAGGCTGGACTGACAAAGAAGCCAGAACAGCTAACATGGCAGCCTGCCCCACTCCACGGGGACTCTGTCCCAGAGGGAAATTAGAGATATTTCTGTAGAAAACTGGCTGGAGTGGCAGAAGTCCTGACTGGGATGTACAGCCCAATGAGGAGGAATGGATTAGAGTCCTGCTTAAAGAAGCAGTCTGGCCACGATCTGGCAAAGAGGCTGTGTTGCACTGGGGAGACCCTTCCTCACAGGGAACTTTTGGACTCTCCAAAGCTGGCAAGCTGGAAAGACTGAGTTGATTGAATTGTAGAGATGGCAGCTTCCCCTCCCCAGGGATCTCCTTCCCATCTCAGGCAGACTCCACCCTGTTGCCATTGGCTGGCTGGAATTTCAAGCCAATGGGTCTTATCTTGTGAGATGCTGTGGAAGTGGGGCTGGCAGAAAGATGCTGCTTGGTTCCCTGAATTTAGCCCCCTTCCTAGGGGTATGCATGGACCTCCCACCTTTCCTGAGTTGCAGACACTCTTATTGAAGATCTTGGGCCAGAGTATGTAAAGCTTCTGGGTCTCTGTGTGTGCTTGAAAAGCTGTTCTGCCAAGACTTCACACAGTTCTATGTGTCGGACCCAAGGCCCAGTGACGTGGGCCCATGAGAGGATCTCCTGATTCTCAGGTTGCAAAAATCCCTGGGAGGAGCGTGGTTTCACAGGCGGGGTCATACAATCACTCACCACTTCCCTTGGCTGGGGGTGGGGATTCCCTTGGGTCCATGTTGCTCTTTGGTGGACCATCACCCCACCCTTTTCTTCTTTATTCTCCATGGGTCAAGTTGTTTGTCTAATCAGTCCCAATGCGAGAACTTGGATATTTCAGTTGAGAGTGCTGCATTCACTCATCCCTTTCCTTTCTCTCCATAAGTGCTGTGGACTACAGCTGCTTCTAATCGGTCATCTTGGCTCCCTCTCTCCCTAAAGAGACATTTAAAGTACGTGTTTTTATTTAATCATCTAATCTTGCATTCTGTTTATTAGCATCCTAATTTTACTAATAATTAACTTGTGTTAACATAGCTACTATGGGGTGGAGTATGGATTGGAATCCAGGTCTACCTTTAACATACATTTACACACACATATGAGCATCTATTTTCCTCTCCTCTACTCAGCCACTATAAAATTCTGATACTCACTCATTGATTTCATGATTCCATTTCACGGTCATATCCTTTAAGTTAGCCAAGCTAGAAATCTTGCATGAAATTTTTATGTCTACTATAATTATTGAGGTGTAAATTACAAAGAGCCTGGTATAACTAATGTATAAATGTAATGTGTAGGAGTGTTTGTCTATGAGTGTATATGTAAAATAGAACAATTCAGAAAAAGCAGATATAATGTAAAGAACCGTGTGTGTGCATATATACATACATTCATACATGCAAATACTTTAAACTTTTATAATTATTCAACTATTCTTAAAGAATGATATTAGTAGGATGATGGAGTAGGATATATCAGTTTTATTTCATCCACAAAAAACAATTAGACTGCTATACACGCATGAAAATAACCTTGGGAGAGCTCAAGAGTCTAATTAAGAACCTGCAGCAATACTATAGAGCAAAACAAGGGAGAATAAACACAGAGAAAAAAATAAAGAGAAGATTAGCATACCTCAGTAATCTGGAGACTGCTGTGAACCAAAGAGGGTAGGGGCTATTGTTATCAGCTGCATAGTGGGTGCCATCATGGTCCCCAGTTGTCTGTCTGGCATAAGGTGGGCAGCTTTCACTACTGAGGTAGCCAACAGCCATCACTGTTGCAGACACATCAGAGAGAGATATGCTGTTGTGCTGCCTCCCCATATCTAAGAAGGAGCCACTATTATCTTACTCTAGGACTGGGTTCACCACTTTTCACAACCACATACATGCCTGAGACTCCACAGTTATGGCTACACTAAGTATGCTCACAAACTCCAGCTCTGCAGCCACTCCATGTATCCCCACTATTAAGACTCAAGTTCTACATAAGCACAGTATGCATCATGCACACCCATACCACAAAAAATGGAGCCACTTCCACTGCAGGCTAGCCCCAGCCCAGGCCATAAAACCTCAATTACTCCATGCATGCCTGTGCTACAGACCCCTTCTCCCCTGCCACTTATAAGAGTGCCTGTACCTGGGGCAACGGTGGAACTGCTAATTCCAGCTAGTTCATTCGCAGGAGCCTGGAGACATTGTCTGTTTGGGCATGACTGCACTCCTGATTTCAGCTCCACAGAGGCAACACATGCACACTAACTCTTCAGATGCCAGGGCCACTGTTTCTATGGGCTAGTCTATACCCCAGGCCCTGAAGCCATGATGTTCCTTCACTCACCCTCATTCCTGACTCTGTCTCCACTGCTCCAGGGTGACCATGACTCAGACACTAGAGCCACTGCCACAGCAAGCTAGTTCATGCACCTGGCTTTGGAGCCAACGTCACTGCCTGTGTGTCCATGCACAGTGCCCACCTTCATGGCTCCTCTATAAGCACCTGAAGACACAGATGCTGGAGCCTCTGCTTCAGTAGGCACATCACCAATCTGATCCTCAGAGCAATGTTAGCTCTGCACATGCCCATAGTCCAGAATCTTGCTTTACAGCATTTCTGTGAACATCTGCAAGTAGGACACCAGAGCCACCAACCCAGTGGAAGCAACCAAACCAAGACTCCAGAGCTACTGTAGCTTTGCTCACTTCCATTTTCTGTAACCTGGTTCCCTGACAGCTCCACAAACACCCATAGCTGGAACACAGGTACCAACTTGGCATCAACGGATGCTTATGCCCAGTACATTGGTGCCATTGCTACCACGGACCCAAACGCCATGCCTCCTTCATGTGTGCCTGCAATCTAGACCCCAGCTCCCTGAGCACAACATGAATTCTGCACATCAGATAATGGTGTCACAGCCACTGCAAATATTCCTATAAGTCAGACTCAGTGACAAGAGGTACCCCCTCCACCATGACTTCCCTCAGTGAGACAAAAAGAGATATGGAGGACTCTGGTAACCTTCATTACCAAATATTCCAGTGGCCCTCAGAACCACTGTGAATACCCACAACATTGGCAACTGAGGACCCCTGCAATCTTTGTTGATGTTGACCTCAACTAACAGAGGTGCACAAAGATTATAGCACTATGCCCACACTGGAGACAAAACCATGCAACACCCCAGCTAGTGCCCTCACACTCAACTACTGGTAAAGGTATAAACTCATTAAAACTTGTATGTGAAACCAGGAAGGCATGACTGCTTCATCAGATTTGCTTATATCATGCAAGGTAAGAAGAAACATGAAAAAATGAAGGAAACATAACACCACCAAAGGAACATCATGATTTTCCAGTAACCAGCCAGAATTAAATGTACATTTATGAAATGTCTGATAATAAATTCAAAATAACTGTTTTAAGGAAGCTCAGCAAACAACAATAGAACACAGAGAAACAGCTCAGTGAAATCAGAAAGACAATATACAAACAAAATTAGAATTTTAACAAAGAGACTGAAATCTTAAAAAATAATAGGACAGAAACTATGAAGCTGAAGAATACAAAAATTAAATTTTAAAAATACAATAGAAGGTAGCAACAGCACAACTGATCAAGCAGAAGAAAGAATTGGTGAACTTAAATAAAGATTAATTAAAAATATCCAGGCAGGGGCCAGGCGTGGTGGCTCACGCCTGTAATCCCAGCACTTTGGGAGGCCGAGGCAGGTAGATCACAAGGTCAGGAGATCGAGACCATCCTGGCTAACACGGTGAAACCTCGTCTCTACTAAAAATTAAAAAAAAAAAAAAAATTAGCCGGGCGTGGTGGTGGGTGCCTGTAGTCCCAGCTACTTGGGAGGCTGAGGCAGGAGAATGGCGTGAACCCGGGAGGTGGAGCTTGCTGTGAGCCGAGATCACACCAATGCACTCCAGCCTGGGTGACAGAGCGAGACTCCATCTCAGAAAAAAAATAAAATAAAAAATAAATAAATAAATAGATAGATAAATAAATGCAGTCAGTGGGTAAAAACAAAGAATGAAAAAGAATGAAGAAAGCCTATGGGTTTTATGGGTCACTATCAAGAGAGCTAACATCTGTATTATGGAAATATCAGAAGGAGAAGAAAGAAAGTGAAAGAAAGCTTACTTAAAGAAAGAATAGCCAAAAACTTCCCATATCTGAGGAAAGATATACAGATATTAGACTTACAATCATTTCACTCATGATTTTTCAACTTTAGAATTTTGCAAAAGCAATATTCATTCAGTAGAAACTCCAAGGTACTTCAAGTGTCCTTAAAACCATACTTTTTTTCACTTTCAATATAGTATTCAAAAATTTGCATGAGCTATTTTTCACTTTATTATTAAATAAGCTTTGTGTTTAATTATTTTGCCCAACTGTAGGCTAACGTTCTGAGCACATTTAAGGTAGCCAAATCTAAGCTATGATCTTCAATAGGTTAGATGTATTAAATGCATTTTTACTTACAAAATTTTCAACTTATAAGAAGTTTATAGGAATATAAATTCATTGCAAAGCAAAGAGTGTCTGTAAATATCCAGGTACAGGAAGCTTAAAGGCCTAGAATTAGATTCAACACAAAGAAGACTTTACCAAGGCATATTATGATCAAACTGTCAGAAATCAAGGATGAAGAGGTAATCTTCAAAGTAGAAAGATAAAATAAGTTTAATAAATACAAGGGAAATTTTATAAGGCTATAAATGAATTTTTCAGCAGAAATAAGCAAGGAGAAGATGTGATTATGTATTAAATATGCTAGTGGGGAAAAAACAAACTTTCCAACCAAAATATATTTTATCTGGAACATATATCATTCAGAAATGGTGAGATAAAGGCTTTCCTAAATACACAGAAATTAAGGGAGTTCACTAACAACAGACTTGTCTTACAAAAAAATTCTAAAGACAGTTTTTCAAGCTGAAACAAAATGATACTAATTAGTAACATGAGAACATACGAAAGTTTAAGATTCACTTGAAAAATTGAATACCCAGTCAACTACAGAATATTCTAATATTGTGAAAATGTTGTGTAAAACATTTATACTTTTAATATATAGCTTTAAAAAATCATTAAAAATAATGATGGATACAATAATTTGGTAAGAGGTACACAATAAGAACATATATATTGTGAGAGAAAAACCATTAAGATGTGTGAAAAGTAAAAATGTAGATTTTTTATGTATTATTATCAGCTTAAAATATACTTTGATAAATATCAGATATTTTGTGTAATCCTCATAGTAACATGAAACCAAAAACCTATAGTACATGCCAAAACAAAAAAAGAGAGAAAGGAATAAAAGTGTACTATTACAGGACATCATCAATTTGTAAAAGAAGGCAGCAAGAGTGGAAGAATGGAACAAAGTGTATACAAAACAGAAAATCATTTAATGAAATAACAGTAATAAGTTATTAGTTACCTTGAATGGAAATGAATTACATACAAAATAATCCTTCCTGATTACGTAGACATTGAATGACTGAATGGATACAAAACCAAGACCCAATTACGTGCTGCCTACAGTGGACTCACTTCAGCTTTAATGACACATATAAACTGAAAGTAAAGGGATATATAATAATGAATGAGTTAATTAATCATGAGGTTATACTTTTACATACATATTTATCAAACATTGATTCAGCCAAAAATATATAAATATTAATACTTCTTAAGAAAACAACAACAATTCAAAAATGATAGAAGGTTTTATTAACCCACTTTCAGAAACAGGAAGGTGATCTAGACCAAAATTAATAAGAAAATATTGTTAGGCCACAAAACAAATCTCAACAGATATAAAGTTAAAATCATGATGGGGGAAGCGGCCAAAGTATGCCCTCTTTCACCAATCCTATTCAACATAGTACTGAGAGTCATGGCCAGAGCAATCAGCCAAGAGAAAGAAATAAGAGGCACCCAAATAGGAACAGAAGAAGTCAAATGATCTCTCTTTGCAGACAATATGATTCCATACCTAGAAAACCCCAAAGTCTCTTCCCAAAAGCTCCTTGATCTGTTAAGCAATTTCAACAAAGTTTCAGAATACAAAATCAATATACAAAAACAAATACTATTTCAATACACCAACAACATCTATGCTGAGACTGAAATCAAGAACATAATCCCATTTACAATAGCTACAAAAATAATAAAATATCCAGGAATACAGCTAGAGAAGTGAAAGATCTCTACAATGAGAATTACAAAATGCTGCTCAAAGAAATCAGAGACAACAAGACAAAAGGAAAAACATTCCATAATTATGGCTAGAAAGTGTCAATGTTGCTAAAAATGGCCATGTTTCCCAAAGAAACTTACAGATTCAATGCTATTCCTATCAAACTACCAATTACATTCTTCACAGAATTAGAAAAAAACTTTTCTAAAATTCATGTAAAACCAAAAAAAGAAAAAAAAAAAGCCTGAATAGCCAAGGCAATACTAAGCAGAAAGAACAAATCTGGAGGCATCACATTACTCAACTTAAAACTATATTACAAGGGTGCAATGACCAGAATAGCATGGTACTGGTACAAAAGCAGACACATAAACCAATGGAACAGAATGGAGAGCCCCAAAATAGTGCTGCACACCTAAAACCATCTGATCTTTGATAAACCTGACCAAAAAAAAAAAAAAAAAAAACACGGGGAAAATATTCCCTATTCAATAAACGGCTCTGGGATAACTGGATAGCCATATGCAGAAGATTAAAATCAAACTCCTTCCTTACACATATACATAAATCAACTCAAGATGCATTAAAGACTTAAATGTAAATCCTAAAAGTATAAAAACCCTGGAAAATAACTTAAGAAATTCGATAATGGACCTAGGAACTGGCAACGATTTCTTGGTGGAGATCCCAAAACAAATTGTGACAAAAACAAAAGTTGACAAATGAGACCTAATTAAACTAAAGCTCTGCACAGCAAAGGAAACTATCAACAGAGTAAACAGACAACCTTCAGAGTGAGACAAAATATTTACAAACTATGTATTCAACAAAGGTCTAATATCCAGACTGTAAGGAATTTAAACAAATTTACAAGCAAAAAACAACTCCATTAAGAAATGAGCAAAGGGTATGAAGAGACACTTTGAAAAGAAGATATACGTGTGGCCAACAAGCATAAGAAAAAATACTCAACATCACTAACCATTAGAGAAATGCAATTCAAAACCACAATGAGATACCATCTCACAATAGTCAGAATGGCTATTACTAAAAAGTAAAAAAAAAACCAGATGCTTGCCAGATTGCAGAGAAAACAGAATACTTATACACTGTTGGTGGAAATGTAAAACAGTTTGGCAATTTTGGAAAGTGTGATGATTCTTCAAAGAACTTAAAACAGAATCACCACTTGACCCAGCTATCCCATTATTGGGTATATACACAAAAGAATATAAATCACTCTACTATAAAGACACATGCATGTGTATCTTTACTGCAGCACTTCACAATAGCAAAGACATAAAATCAGTCTAAAGGCTCATCAATAGTTGATTGGATAAAGAGAATGTGGTAGATATAAACCATGGAATACTATGCAGCCATAAAAAGAACTAAATAATGTTCTTTGCAGCAACATGACGGAGCTGAAGGCCATTATCCTAAGAAAATGAATGCTAGAACAGAAATCCAAATACCACATGTGCTCACTTATAAGTGGGAGCTAAACAATGAGAACAAATGAAAACAAAGAGGGAAACAACAGACACTGGGGCTTACTTGAGGGTGGAGTGTAGGAGAAGCAAAGCGAGAGGATAAAAAAAATTACCTATTGGGTATGATGCTAATTACTTGAGCGATGAAATAATCTGTACACTACACCCTCATGACGCAGTTTAACTTATAACAAACCATCATATATACCCCTCAACCTAAAATAAAAATTAAAAAGATAATATTAATAATAAAATTATCCAGGTGAATCAATTCCAGGGAAATTATATGTAGTATAGAAAATATGCACACAATTCTTCACTATAGCATTATTATCATTAATATTATTATTATGTTGAGATGAAGTCTTGCTCTGTTGCCCAGGCAGGAGCGCAGTCGTGTGATCTTGGCTTCTGCAACCTCCACCTCCCAGGTTCAAGCAATTCTCCTGCCTCAGCCTCCTGAGCAGCTGGGATTACAGGCACCTGCCACCATGCATGGTTAACTTTTGTATTTTCAGTATAAACAGGGTTTCACCATGTTGACTAGGCTGGTCTCAGACTCCTGATCTCATGTGATCTGCCCGCCTCAGCCTTCCAAAGTGCTGGGATTACAGGTGTGAGCCACTGCAGTCGGACAGCATTATTTTTAATAGTGGAAAATTATAAGAATCTAAAGGTTCAAAAAGGGTGAAAGATTGAGCAAACCCAAGTTGGTCTGCTCTAGAAATATTATGAAGCCACTGGAAATATTACAAAACCACAGTTATGAAGACTACATTATAACATGAGAAAAGTTTATGGAATAATGCTCAGTTGAAAAAACTGGCTATATAAAGTAGTCTGCATTAAAATATATTACATAAAAAAAGAAAACTTAAAATTTTAAATAAGTAACTCAAGAAAATCATATCAAGTATCTTTTTTTACTACAATGGTATGAAACTAGAAATTAATAGCAGGAAGAATTTTGAAAAATTCACAAATATGTGGAAATAAAGCAATACACTCCTGAGTCACCAGTGGGTCAAAGGAACGCAATAATTTTCCAGTAACTAATCCCCAGAAATGAAGAATTATGCATTGACTGACAATTAATTCAAAGTAATTGTTTTTAGGGAAAATTGGTGTACTATAATAAAACACAGAGAAACTACTCAATGATATCAGGAACAGTCAGAGTTGTTTATCCATCGGTTGGTCAGGAATGTGTTGTTTGATTTCCACATATTTGTGAATTATTCAGAATTCTTCCTGTTACTGATATCTAGTTTCAGTTTCATAGCAGTCATGGTAAAATCAAAGGAAAAATTTAAAAATATCTTGAGACAAACAAAAAATGGAAACACGACATACCAATACCAAAGAAGGAAGGCAAAGCAGTTTTAAGGAGATAAGGGGAGAGTTATAACAATAAATGTCTATACTAAAAAAGCAAAAGATAACAAACAACCTAATGAAGCAACTCAAGGAACTAGAAAAAGAGGAACATACTAAGCTCAAAGTTAGTAGAAAGAAGACAATAGCAACTATAACAGAAGAAACAAGATAGAAACTAGAAAAACAATGAAAAGGTAAATACAACTAAAAGTTGTATTTTTAATGAAATTGTCCACCTTTTAACTTGATTAAGAAAAAAAGATGAAAGACCCAAATGAAATTAGAAATGAAATAGGGGATATTACAATTGCTACCATAGAAATAAAAAAGATCATAAGAGACTACCATGAACAATGTACACCAACAAATTGAATAACATAGCAGAAATGTATAAATTTCTAAAAAATGAAATGCAACCTACCAAGACTGAATTATAAAGAAATAGAAAATCTGAACAGGTCAATAGTAAGTAAAAAGATTGGATTGGTAGTAGAAATTCTCCCGTCTAAGAAAAACCAAGAACTTTATGGCCAGCATTACCTTGATTCTAAAACCAGATGAAGACACTACAAATAAATAAAATTGCAGGCTAATATAGATGCAAAACTCCTCTGCAAAACACTAGCACATTCAATGGCATATTGAAAGGATCATTCACAATGATCAAATGTGGAATTTTGTCCCTGAGTTACAAGGGTAGTTCAATACACCCGTCAGTAAATATTGTAATATATCAACATAATAAAGAAAAAAACACCATGTGATCATCTCAGTTAATATGGCAACAAATGCATAAATAAACAAATGGGATTGCATTAAATTAAAACTTCTGCAAGGCGAAGGAAACAGTAAACAGTGAAAAGACAACATGTGGAAGGCAAGAAAATATTTGCAAACCATGTATCTGATAAGAGGTTAATACTCAAAATATGTAAGGAGTTCAAACAACTGAATAGCAAGAAAACAAATAACCCGGTTAAAAACTGGGCAAGGAACATGAATAAACATTTCTCTGAAGAACACATACAAATGGACAGCCAGTTTATGAAAAAAAAAGCTTAACATCATTCGGGTAAGTACAAATCCAACCATAATGAGATATCACCTAACAGCTGTTAGAATGGCTATTTTCAAAACGGCAAAATAAACCCCACGTTCTGGCAAAGCTGTAGAAAAAAAAGAGAACTCTTATACATTGCTGGTTGGTAGGTACACTAGTACAGCCATTATGAGAAACAGTATGCAGGGTTCTTAAAAAATTAATATAGGACTATCTTATGACCTAGTAATCTCATTATTGGGCATATGTTTAAAGGAAATGAAATTAGTATCTCAAAGAGTTATCTGAGGGGAGCCAAGATGGCCGAATAGGAACAGCTCCGGTCTACAGCTCCCAGCGTGAGCGACGCAGAAGACGGGTGATTTCCGCATTTCCATCTGAGGTACCGGGTTCATCTCACTAGGGAGTGCCAGACAGTGGGCGCAGGTCAGTGTGTGTGCGCACTGTGCGCGAGCCGAAGCAGGGTGAGGCATTGCCTCACTCGGGAAGCACAAGGGGTCACGGAGTTCCCTTTCTGAGTCAAAGAAAGGGGTGACAGACGGCACCTGGAAGATCGGGTCACTCCCACCCGAATACTGTGCTTTCCCGACGGGCTTAAAAAACGGCGCACCACGAGATTATATCCCGCACCTGGCTGGGAGGGTCCTACGCCCACGGAGTCTGGCTGATTGCTAGCAAAGCAGTCTGAGATCAAACTGCAAGGTGGCAGCCAGGCTGGGGGAGGGGCGCCCGCCATTGCCCAGGCTTGATTAGGTAAACAAAGCAGCCGGGAAGCTCCAACTGGGTGGAGCCCACCACAGCTCAAGGAGGCCTGCCTGCCTCTGTAGGCTCCACCTCTGGGGGCAGGGCTCAGACAAACAAAAAGACAGCAGTAACTTCTGCAGACTTAAATATCCCTGTCTGACAGCTTTGAAGAGAGCAGTGGTTCTCCCAGCACGCAGCTGGAGATCTGAGAATGGGCAGACTGCCTCCTCAAGTGGGTCCCTGACCCCTGACCCCCGAGCAGCCTAACTGGGAGGCACCCCCCAGCAGGGGCACACTGACACCTCACACGGCAGGGTATTCCAACAGACCTGCAGCAGAGGGTCCTCTCTGTTTGGAGGAAAACTGACAAACAGAAAGGACATCCACACCAAAAACCCATCTGTACATCACCATCATCAAAGACCAAAAGTAGATAAAACCACAAAGATGGGGAAAAAACAGAACAGAGAAACTGGAAACTCTAAAAAGCAGAGCACCTCTCCTCTTCCAAAGGAACGCAGTTCCTCACCAGCAACAGAACAAAGCTGGATGGACAATGACTTTGACGAGCTGAGAGAAGAAGGCTTCAGACGATCAAATTACTCTGAGCTACGGGAGGACATTCAAACCAAAGGCAAAGAAGTTGAAAACTTTGAAAAAAATTTAGAATGTATAACTAGAATAACCAATACAGAGAAGTGCTTAAAGGAGCTGATGGAGCTGAAAACCAAGGCTCGAGAACTACGTGAAGAATGCAGAAGCCTCACGAGCCGATACGATCAACTGGAAGAAAGGGTATCAGCGATGGAAGATGAAATGAATGAAATGAAGTGAGAAGGGAAGTTTAGAGAAAAAAGAATAAAAAGAAATGAGGAAAGCCTCCAAGAAATATGGGACTATGTGAAAAGACCAAATCTACGTCTGATTGGTGTACCTGAAAGTGATGGGGAGAATGGAACCAAGTTGGAAAACACTCTGCAAGATATTATCCAGGAGAACTTCCGCAATCTAGCAAGGCAGGCCAACGTTCAGATTCAGGAAATACAGAGAACGCCACAAAGATACCCCTCGAGAAGAGCAACTCCAAGACACATAATTGTCGGATTCACCAAAGTTGAAATGAAGGAAAAAATGTTAAGGGCAGCCAGAGAGAAAGGTCGGGTTACCCTCAAAGGGAAGCCCATCAGACTACAGCGGATCTCTCGGCAGAAACCCTACAAGCCAGAAGAGAGTGGGGGCCAATATTCACATTCTTAAAGAAAAGAATTTTCAACCCAGAATTTCATATCCAGCCAAACTAAGCCTCATAAGTGAAGGAGAAATAAAATGCTTTACAGACAAGCAAATGCTGAGAGATTTTGTCACCACCAGGCCTGCCTTACAAGAGCTCCTGAAGGAAGCACTAAACATGGAAAGGAACAACCAGTACCAGCCGCTGCAAAATCATGCCAAAATGTAAAGACCATCGAGACTAGGAAGAAACTGCATCAACTAACCAGCAAAAGAAGCAGCTAACATCATAATGACAGGATCAAATTCACACATAATAATATTAACTTTAAATGTAAATGGACTAAATGCTGCAATTAAAAGACACGGACTGGCAAATTGGATAAAGAGTCAAGACCCATCAGTGTGCAGTATTCAGGAAACCCATCTCACGTGCAGAGACACACATAGGCTCAAAATAAAAGGATGGAGGAAGATCTACCAAGCCAATGGAAAACAAAAAAAGGCAGGGGTTGCAATCCTAGTCTCGGATAAAACAGACATTAAACCAACAAAGATCAAAAGAGACAAAGAAGGCCATTACATAATGGTAAAGGGATCAATTCAACGAGAAGAGCTAACTATCCTAAATATATATGCACCCAATACAGGAGCACCAAGATTCATAAAGCAAGTCCTGAGCGACCCACAAAGAGACTTAGACTCCCACACATTAACAATGAGAGACTTTAACACCCCACTGTCAATATTAGACAGATCAACGAGACAGAAAGTCAACAAGGATACCCAGGAATTGAACTCAGCTCTGCACCAAGCGGACCTAATAGACATCTACAGAACTCTCCACCCCAAATCAACAGAATATACATTTTTTTCAGCACCACACCACACCTATTCCAAAATTGACCACATACTTGGAAGTAAAGCTCTCCTCAGCAAATGTAACAGAACAGAAATTATAACAAACTATCTCTCAGACCACAGTGCAATCAAACTAGAACTCAGGATTAAGAATTTCATCCAAAACCGATCAACTACATGGAAACTGAACAAGCTGCTCCTGAATGACTACTGGGTACATAACGAAATGAAGGCAGAAATAAAGATGTTCTTTGAAACCAATGAGAACAAAGACACAACATACCAGAATCTCTGGGACGCATTCAAAGCAATGTGTAGAGGGAAATTTATAGCACTAAATGCCCACAAGAGAAAGCAGAAAAGATCCAAAACTGACACACTAACATCACAATTAAAAGAACTAGAAAAGCAACAGCAAACACATTCAAAAGCTAGCAGAAGGCAAGAAATAACTAAAATCAGAGCAGAACTGAAGGAAATAGAGACACAAAAAACCCTTCAAAAAATTAATGAATCCAGGAGCTGGTTTTTTGAAAGGATCAACAAAATTGATAGACTGCTAGCAAGACTAATAAAGAAAAAAAGAGAGAAGAATCAAATAGACACAATAAAAAATGATAAAGGGGATATCACCACCGATCCCACAGAAATACAAACTACCATCAGAGAATACTACAAACACCTCTACACAAATAAACTAGAAAATCTAGAAGAAATGGATAAATTCCTGGACACATACACTCTCCCAAGTCTAAACCAGGAAGAAATTGAATCTCTGAATAGACCAATAACGGGAGCTGAAATTGTGGCAATAATCAATAGCTTACCAACCAAAAAGAGTCCAGGACCAGATGGATTCACAGCTGAATTCTACCAGAGGTACAAGGAGGAAGTGGTACCATTCCTTCTGAAACTATTCCAATCAATAGAAAAAGAGGGAATCCTCCCTAACTCATTTTATGAGGCCAGCATCATTCTGATACCAAAGTCGGGCAGAGACACAACAAAAAAAGAGAATTTTAGACCAATATCCTTGATGAACATTGATGCAAAAATCCTTAATAAAATACAGGCAAAACGAATCCAGCAGCACATCAAAAAGCTTATCCAGCATGATCAAGTGGGCTTCATCCCTGGGATGCAAGGCTGGTTCAATATACGCAAATCAATAAATGTAATCCAGCATATAAACAGAGCCAAAGACAAAAACCACATGATTATCTCAATAGATGCAGAGAAAGCCTTTGACAAAATTCAACAAACCTTCATGCTAAAAACTCTCAATAAATTAGGTATTGATGGGACGTATTTCAAAATAATAAGAGCTATCTATGACAAACCCACAGCCAATATCATACTGAATGGGCAAAAACTGGAACCATTCCCTTTGAAAACTGGCACAAGACAGGGATGCCCTCTCTCACCACTCCTATTCACCATAGTGTTGGAAGTTCTGGCCAGGGCAATTAGGCAGGAGAAGGAAATAAAGGTTATTCAATTAGGAAAAGAGGAAGCCAAATTGTCCCTGTTTGCAGACGACATGATTGTATATCTAGAAAACCCCATTGTCTCAGCCCAAAATCTCCTTAAGCTGATAAGCAACTTCAGCAAAGTCTCAGGATACAAAATCAAAGTACAAAAATCACAAGTATTCTTATACACCACCAACAGACAAACAGAGAGCCAAATCATGAGTGAACTCCCATTCACAATTGCTTCAAAGAGAATAAAATACCTAGGAATCCAACTTACAAGGGATGTAAGGACCTCTTCAAGGAGAACTACAAACCACTGCTCAAGGAAATAAAAGAGGATACAAACAAATGGAAGAACATTCCATGCTCATGGGTAAGAAGAATCAATATCGTGAAAATGGCCATACTGCCCAAGGTAATTTACAGATTCAATGCCATCCCCATCAAGCTACCAATGACTTTCTTCACAGAATTGGAAAAAAACTACTTTAAAGTTCATATGGAACCAAAAAAGAGCCCGCATCACCAAGTCAATCCTAAGCCAAAAGAACAAAGCTGGAGGCATCACACTACCTGACTTCAAACTATACTACAAGGCCACAGTAACCAAAACAGCATGGTACTGGTACCAAAACAGAGATATAGATCAATGGAACAGAACAGAACCCTCAGAAATAATGCCACATATCTACAACTATCTGATCTTTGACAAACCTGAGAAAAACAAGCAATGGGGAAAGGATTCCCTATTTAATAAATGGTGCTGGGAAAACTGGCTAGCCATATGTAGAAAGCTGAAACTGGATCCCTTCCTTACACCTTATACAGAAATCAATTCAAGATGGATTAAAGACTTAAACATTAGACCTAAAACCATAAAATCCCTAGAAGAAAACCTAGGCATTAGCATTCAGGACATAGGCATGGGCAAGGACTTCATGTCTAAAACACCAAAAGCAATGGCAACAAAAGACAAAATTGACAAATGGAATCTAATTAAACTAAAGAGCTTCTGCACAGCAAAAGAAACTACCATCAGAGTGAACAGGCAACCTACAAAATGGGAGAAAATTTTCGCAACCTTCTCACCTGACAAAGGGCTAATATCCAGAATCTACAATGAACTGAAACAAATTTACAAGAAAAAAACAAACAACCCCATCAAAAAGTGGGCGAAGGACATGAAGAGACACTTCTCAAAAGAAGACATTTATGCAGCCAACAGACACATGAAAAAATGCTCATCATCACTGGCCATCAGAGAAATGCAAATCAAAACCACAATGAGATACCATCTCACACCAGTTAGAATGGCAATCATTAAAAAGTCAGGAAACAACAGGTGCTGGAGAGGATGTGGAGAAATAGGAACACGTTTACACTGTTGGTGTGACTGTAAACTAGTTCAACCATTGTGGAAGTCAGTGTGGCGATTCCTCAGGGATCTGGAACTGGAAATACCATTTGACCCAGCCATCCCATTACTGGGTATATACCCAAAGGACTATAAATCATGCTGCTATAAAGACACATGCACACGTATGTTTATTGCGGCATTATTCACAATAGCAAAGACTTGGAACCAACCCAAATGTCCAACAATGATAGACTGGATAAGAAAATGTGGGACATATACACCATGGAATACTATGCAGCCATAAAAAATGATGAGTTCATGTCTTTTGTAGGGACATGGATGAAATTGGAAATCATCATTCTCAGTAAATTATCACAAGAACAAAAAACCAAACACCACATATTCTCACTCATAGGTGGGAATTGAACAATGAGATCACATGGACACAGGAAGGGGAATATCACACTCTGGGGACTGTTGTGGGGTGGGGGGAGAGGGGAGGTATAGCATCGGGAGATATACCTAATGCTAGATGACGAGTTAGTGGGTGCAGCGCACCAGCATGGCACATGTATACATATGTAACTAACCTGCACAATGTGCATGTGTACTCTAAAACTTAAAGTATAATAAAAAAAAAAAAAAGAGATATCTGAACACCCATGCTCACTGCAGCAATATTCACAATGGCCAAGATCTGGAATTGACCTGTTTCCATTGACATATGGATGAATAAAAGAAATGTGTGCACATATATATACATACATACATATATCCTGGATATGTGTGCATATATATATATATATATATATATATATATATATGCACACATTTCTTTTATTTATATGGTGAAAGGAAAATAAATCTTGGGTCTCCAAAATTACTAAGCTAAAGGAAAAAGTCAAGCTGGGAACTGCTTAGGGTAAACCTGCCTCCTGTCCTATTCGAAGTCATCTCTCTGCTCACTGAGATAAATGCATACCTGATTGCCTCCTTTGGAAAAGCTAATCAGAAACTCAAAAGAATGCAACCATTCACCCCTTATCTACCTATGACCTGGAAGCCACCTCCCCACTTCAAATCGCCCTGCCTTTGCTTCCAGTTGTCCCAGCTTTCTGGACCTAATGAAGGTTTATCTTACATATATTGATTGGTGTTTCATGTCTCCCCAAATTGTATGAAACCAGGTTGTACCTGAACCACCTTGGGCACCCTTTGTCAGGACCTCCTGAGGCTGTATCACAAGTACATACCCTTAACTTTGGCAAAATAAACTTCCTAAATTGACTAAGACCTGTCTCAGATATATTGCTTAGCAATATACATGCACATGCACACAACACATACACAAATTGGAATACTATTCAGCCTCCCAAAAAAGACATTCTGTCATTCGTGACTACATGGGTGAAAGAGGAGAACATTATGCTAATTAAATGAAGCTAGAAACAGAAAGACAGATACTGTATTATCTCACTTACATGTGGAATATAAAATGTCAAACTCAAAGAAACAGATAGTAAAATGATGATTGGCAAAGGCCACGTGGGTAAGGGGGACAGTGAAATGTTGATTAAGGGGTACCAATTTCTCATTAGTTGAAATAAATGCTGTATGTGTATTGTACAGTAACAACAATGTGGCCGGGCGCGGTGGCTCACGCCTGTAATCCCAGCACTTTGGGAGGCCGAGGCGGGTGGATCATGAGGTCAGGAGATCGAGACCATCCTGGCTAACAAGGTGAAACCCCGTCTCTACTAAAAATACAAAAAATTAGCCGGGCGCGGTGGCGGGCGCCTGTAGTCCCAGCTACTCGGGAGGCTGAGGCAGGAGAATGGCGTGAACCCGGGAAGCGGAGCTTGCAGTGAGCCGAGATTGCGCCACTGCAGTCCGCAGTCCGGCCTGGGCGACAGAGCGAGACTCCGTCTCAAAAAAAAAAAAAAAAAAAAAAAAAAAAAAAAACAACAACAATGTATTGTATACTAAAAATTGGTAAGAGAGTGTATGTTAACTATTCTCACCACAAAAAAGGGAATTTGAGGTGATGGATGTGTTAATTATCTTGATTCAATCATTTCAGAATGTATGCATATATCAAAACACTAAATTGTACAACATAAATATAAACAGTTTTGGAAAATATACTTTAATAAAGCCCTAAAATGTTTTAAATATGTCTAACAAGGATGCATTTTTATATAGAGAAATAAATGTAATGTCTTAAGAATGGTCAATAAATACCCAAAACAAATATAAAATAAGAGTAAATCCCAGAAAAATTCTCCAGATGTGAAGCAATTTTCTATCTTTTTTTTCTTTTAACTTATTTTAAAATCTAAGACAGGTGTGTAAAAATCAGCATTGTTAATTTCTTGTCAAATGATTTCTGCCTCACACTGTTCTATATTTTTCACAAGGTAAATTCAGTAACTCTAGCCAGGATGAATATAATGCTAGTAATTATTTCATATTTAAGCATGTCATTAAATGTAATTTATGGTTTTGTTATGTATATTTATTATCCCCAGTGACAGAAGTAAATGCAAAGGGACAGAGATGATAATCCCCATTAGCACAATGAAGATATACACAGGTGGGAAGACTTCTTCACAATGGCATTGTAAGAATTAAGTTACATTGTAAATAGAAAATGCTTTATAAATGAAACATACAAAATCACCAGCATCTTCTATTGAGTGCAGAAAAAATAACAGAATACTGCTTCCTAGAATCTGAAATTGTATTTAAAGAAAAAAAATAGAGGTAAGATCACAGAGGGAATGGGACGTTTAGAGTGCTTACTGAAATTTTCCAACTGACTGATGTAAATATTTTCTATATAGTTTTGATAAACTGCTTAAAGTCTAGCCTTCAGTTTTGTTAATATAAAGAAACAAAGATGATACTTGCTACCCAACTATGTCAAAGCTTTTAAGTTAAAAATCTATTGTGATTGATGTACTGTGTTGTTTGATTAATGAAAATGCTTTATGGACAAAATATGTACACTAACTACACTTATATCTGAATGGGTTTAACTTCTAGAAGAAATTAACTATCTTGACTAGTAATATAATCTTAAATTTAATGTTTTCCTTATTGTCCAAATATTCATGAAATTAATTCATCCTGTGAGAATGAGTAGTGAGAATATAATACTTCACTATTTAAAGTATGTTATATTTCTTAATTAAATCCTCAGTGATTTAATTATTATAATTGCTGTTACCTCATATTGACCACTCATTGTATGCCAATAATTAGTGTTCTCATACAGATCTAAGGAATTTATACATATATATATGATTTAAACATTAATTTTCACAACTTATTAAGATATCATGATTATGATGTAGCTATATATTGAACAAATACTGAAAACAATTATTAGAGAGTCCAGGGAGTAGGTTTGGCCTTTTGGTAATGGTGGAGTAATTTGGCTGTTTACCTCTTCTGCATATTACAATTATGTACTCTAAAACAAAGTATAAAAATACACTATCTGATGGCACTAAAGTATAACCTAAAACTAGCAGAACCTGGCTAAGGGCCAACATCGGGAAGAAAGGAATGGCCCTAAGTGAGTTTCCTATTTTCTATCAATTTTTGCCTGAAGGAAGTCTCCAGTGAGCACCCATTACAAGCATCTAGAACTTGGATATAACTGACAAACTTAATGACTTTAGGAATTAGAGGACAGATATCAGGGGTATCCCAACAGCTGGAATGTGAGGAGTGGAATTTTGCAAAGAAAAAACTCCTAAGAGAGGTGATTCCACATTCTGAACATAAACTTTTCCCAACTCTGTGGCAGATCCCTGCTCTATGAATGAATTGGGCAAACTTCAAGCAGGCTAACAAATTATATTGAACTGAACAGTGATTTCAATGGGTGCACCTTACATACAAGACAAAGTTTGGAGTTTGAGTTCAGCCAAGATAGCTGTCAGTTAAAACAAACAAAACCTTAATAGTCCTCAGAGAAAAATGACAAGCTCTAGAGTCTATAAAATTATTACCCATAATATCTGATATATAATGTAAAATTTCTAAAAGACATATCAAAAAATTTTGAGACCATGATCCACATTCAGAGAAAGGAAATCAAGGAATGAACAAGACTAAAATACCGATATATTGGAATAGACAAACTTGTATCTATAAGAAATAGAATCTATGAAAAAGAATCCCCCAAAACGAAAAACTTAAACTCTGGAATAAATAATATAATATATGAATTTTTTTTTACTGGAGATTCTAGAGAATTTCCTAGGTTCACACACTTACTAATTGCCATATCTAAGATACAAATTAGGTTTGTCTGATTCTAGAATTCTTGCACTTTAATGCAAATCCATGTTGTTTCCCAATAAAGTATATGTTATTATATTCTATTATTCATATGTGGAAACTGAGACTTGATAAATTAAACAATATGCTTGGTAATAAGGACAGAGGGTTCAATAAGATAGTAATGTTCTGTGAAGCTTATAATTTGGTAAGGGTAATCAATACTAAATAGATGCCTTCAATGATTATTTAATTACAATAATGGTAACTGCAATTGTAAAACACATCATTAAAAAGTTTGTAAAAAACGGTGACCTAACTTAGCTCAGAAAGCTTTGTACATGATACCTACTGCTTCTCAGTACGTAGTTAAATAGTATTTCTCCAAAATATGACACTCTTTAAGAACTCAGATGTAAGATTGTCCTGTTCAGTAAGTGGATATTTAATCTCACAGTTCTTAAGGAAATAATTTATCTTTGTTGCTGCAGTATACTCAATGGAACCATACCAGATTACCTACATGTAAGACATAATAATATAAAAGAGGGCTATCTGTGGGAAATGGGACACTGTAAAAGATATTGTAATGACTTTGAAGTATATGATTACGAAAGTGGTAGTTTGGGTCATATTATTGCAAAAGAAAAATATCAGAGATTTAGACATCTACTATATTGATGATCTCCAGCGTGCACTTCACTGTGCAAAGCAGCCATAGACTGGTAAATTAGTCTCTGAAAAAGATAAACAGTGGACATTATACTGAAGGAATAAATATGTATTTTTATTTCTCTCTAATCCAACCACATTTTGTAGCATTTACATTGACTGTAAGATGTAGCACAGTCATTGATAAAATTGAATCCATTGATCTCTGACACTTCTATTCATGTAACTTTTCGTGTCATCCTAATTTATTGTAATTAATATCAAAATCTTATTCTCTGCTTCTAATGTCCTAAGGAGCAATACTTTTCTACAAAACTGCAGAGAGACTCTTAAGTAAAAATGTCATTGTCATTTGAACCTGTGTATTTATTGTATCAGAATACATAGCAATACTGAAACATTTTAGGAGATTTCAATTCACGAAACTGATCAATCACCTCGAATGCAACCTCTCTCAGTTTATAACTTTTCACAATTTTCATTTGCTAGCCACTTCCTCCCTCACAACTTAACAAGATTTATACTGAGTAGTAGAAATGTCCAGGCATTTCTGTGTTCAAGGAAATAAACATCTCTCTTTCTCAATAAATATTCTATCATCAGTCATTTAAGCTGTATCTCATTGTTTTCTTTCTTCCAGGAAATCCAAAAAAGCTTTCTACCCACTAAAGATTCTATACCACATAAAAATAAAAAATAACAGGAAATCTTAAATCATTTCAGCTACTATTGTCATCTTATTCTGTTTATATCCCCCTTCTGATTTTCTTCTAGAAGACATTACTTGTACTCCTCTACATTGCATGCCTGCACTAAGGCCTTTTTAACTTATGTAATCCTGTTTACCCAAGTTATTTTCCAAAATTTTAGAGCTTTATCATAAACAGAAAACATTTATGAAAAATCCCTTTGTATTTCACCTGGTAGATCTAGATAGTTGCTTATATTTTAAGAAAGATAATGTCAACTAACAAACATTTTATTAAATTGTGTAAATTTAATGGACACATGTCTACTATGTGTCAGGTACTGTTGATTTATAAATATTGATACAATGAATCATATTTTTGCTATTAAATGTTGTCAATTCTAACAATATTTAAGAAACTTCATAGTATATATAGATTATAATTATTATAAGAATGTCTTAAATGCAAAACTTTTGACACTGCTTCTTTCCTTTTGATACCTTGAGTTTTTCTTTTTAATAATTTTTTAAAGAGATGAAAGCAAAGGAGATAAGAGCTCTTGGTTCACAGTAGTTCTACAGAATTGTCAATTACTTCCAAGGATCAATGCTTGGCTTATTATACTGTTGAAAATAACGCAAGGCCTCTAGGTAATGCCAAAACAGATCAAAAGTGCCAACATTGGTTTCACATTTTCTATTTCTAAAACAAGTGTGGTGAAAGTTTTGGACACCAGAAAAAAAATCTGTCAACTCCCTCACCAGCAGCTGTCACCTATAGTTAATCTTTTTATTTCTATTTGTGTATTCCCCCTCACACCACTCTATCTCCCACACACTATGTCACCATCTGCCACCACATTTTCATGCATCCAATTGACCTCTCCAAACATGGTCCTGCCGTCATTTTCAGTAAGTCAGGCATCATTAAGTCAGTGACAGCAGTGTCCTTCGAAAATGAAACTAGGTATTTCATAATTGAAAGAACTTAATATTTTCTCACTTTGTCTAAACATGGAAATTTTTTTAAGTGAAGGTGCAATAACTATTGAGCTCACAGCACGTTCTACCAAGTAAGAAAAATGTATCTAAATTTGAATGCTGTACATCTCCAGAAATAAAGGCAAATAACTTTTTTTTTTCCTTACAAGAACTCATGCCAAATGGAAAACAATGCAAAAGATAAAGAACCAACTTGGAGACTAATGGTTAGTAATGTAGTCAGTGTGGTGAAGACGGCCAACATCTGAGCACATCTGGGTTGACTCTCCTTACATGAAAAGTACACTTTGTTTCCAACCTGCTGTTAAATATCATATGACCAGTTCTGACCAGTTCATTGTAAGGACACATGCATTATTCTGGGCTGATGTCTTTTGGAGTACTCAGGGTCTCAGGGTGAATTTGATTACCATAGCATAACCTAGCCTATCCTGATTAAAACCACAGGTCAGAAGGGGGAGGGAGGAGGGATAGCATTAGGAGATATACCTAATGTTAAATAACGAGTTAATGGGTGCAGCACACCAACATGGCACATGTGTACATATGTAACAAACCTGCATGTTGTGCACATGTACCCTAAAACTTAAAGTATAATAATACAAAAAAAGAAATAATAGAAGAGCTAATCTGTCTTGTCTATTGCCCTTTTTTCACACGTCCTCCATACTGAGGATTTTAATGATTGGCTTCAGTTTTTTAGTCATTCTGTAGATCCAGTTGTGTCTGGGTACTAGAAAAGCCCTAAACTTTTCTATTATGTCAATTTGTAAAAGATTTGACTGCCTTTACAGTTGGGCTAGTTGAAGATACATATTAAGGAAAACGTATGTAGTTTTCCTGCGGTCCTTTGCTGTCAGGCAGAGGATACCCACAATCATAAGTGAAGAACTTTCTCTGGAGGAGGCTCTAGAGACAGCAGCCACTGGCAGCACTGTCTGTTGTGACAAAAGGGGCTGAGGAAACAGAAGACCAATGTCAAGGGCTCAAGACCCACATTTCTTCCACATTTTGATCAGAGAATAAAATATAACCACAGATTGGAGAGAATGCTAGCAGAGACAGCACTGTTTTCTGAAGGCATTATTGAATGCTTCTCTTTTCTTAAAAAGGATGTACATAAAGTGGGTTTGGATGGGTTCCCAGATTGCACATCTGCCTGTCTAAATTATACCTGAGAAGTAGCAACAAAACAGATGGAAGTCAGAAGGATTAGGGAACAGCTTTCTTTGGATTTTATGTGCCTATAATCACAATGGCTTACACTCTTTACAACAAAGGGTCTTTAGGCTGGCAGACAGTCTTGTAAATATAGACTGCAACACCTGTGTGTCAAACAAGTAGATACAGGTGCAATCGTGAGTTTTTAGACAAGCAGGATACACTTTGCTGAGTTAGACACATGCACATCCTTGTAACTCTCACTGCTTCTTTCTTAAATCATTATAATGTAGAACATAATATGGCATACTTTATTGATGGTGTTAAAAACCAATTGCTCTTTGCTAGATTGGGGAGGGGTTTAGTCTGTCAGTTTCCATTCTATGTCTCCCCTATTTCTGCTTACTCTTTCCTCCTCGGCTTTCTGTGATTTCTCTCTTAATTATAATACACCATTAAATGGAAAGGAAATGTGGGAAGCAGTCTTAATGGTCAAAATGAATTTCCTCCTCTTTCTCTAAACCTTAAGTGGTTTGGTACGTTGAGCAGCTAAAAATTTTCAAAAATCTTAATATTACTGAAACTTTGCAAATAAAATTGAAATAATTAACATAATGTCATTTTTTAAAAAATGATGGCTAGAATTGTAAATACTTGGTATTTAAGGGAAAAAATGTGAAGAAATAATACAGAGTGGTAAGTAGTATTTTTAATTGTTTTATTACCGCAATGAATCAACAGTTCAAGACTGAGCTAGACAGGGATAGTAAAAGGTAGACAATAAATTAACCTACAATGTGAAATAATCTTCTACCTTTTAATTGGATCCTTGATCATTGTTTCACTTAATCATATACCGTGTTATTGATTAGCCTTAATAGATCTCATGCACACAATTTGTTAGTTGAGATTATTTTTCCCCATCTATATGGCCAGTAACAATTTTCGCACAATATACTAGAAATGTAAAATACAATGGGATCTGACATGAACAACTAAATAGTATTCTGATTAATTGTGACCATGAAATCTACCTTATAAACGGAGAATAGTGTTTCATGATTCTAAATTATGAAATAGTGTACAATAATCATTTTACATTAAATCTAACACACATCTTAGTCACATAAGGTTTTACTTTGCTCTGACAAAACTTAAAAATCACATAGGCATTTTATATTGTTATTTTATATAATACAGTAACATAAATTGCACTTTCTAATAGAAATATGCTTTAAAACAGAAAGCAAAATTAAATTGTCTATTAAATTATTAGATTTAGTTTAAAAACCAGGGTCCTTTAATCAGTATGGTTATAGATAACTGATTTGACTAAATTTCTGACACAGAAAAGCTTGCTTTACCATCATTTAAAGAGATTCTGTATGAACCAGACAGGTCATAGAAATTTTATTGCAGTTTACCACAGCTCCTTATATGTCAAGACTGTGAGGGGAAGGCATTAAAGTACCAATCTTATCACAATCACTTATTACATATTTGTTAATTTCGAGTGGAGTAAATAAGACAAAGCCACAACAAATGTACTGACAAGTTTCTTAGAAATTCCTGTGCACAAAAGTCATGCATATGTACAGCAAGCATTTTCATGGGACTCACTAAAAATAGCTGAATTACATGCACCTAAACACATTCATATGCACCCAATGCGTGCGTGCGCAAACACACACACACACACACACACGTTGAACGATATCACTTTTTTTGTGGGAGGGCTGACGTATTGCTCTCTTGCCCAGAATGGAGTGCAGTGGGATGCTCATAGCTCACTGCAGCCTCCAACTCATATTCAGAGCTCACAGCAGCTTCAGACTCCTGAGCTAAAGTGATTATACCCTCTCAGCCTCCCAAAGCACTGGGATTATAGGAAGGAGTCACTGCACCATGGCATGACTGATATCACTTTAAATATATATATATCCACAATCTTGGAAAGAGCCCAGTACACTTTTGGCCAAGATAGAAAAAGATAAAAATAATATCTAAAATAGCCAAAAAGCCAAAAAGCAATAGAATATATATATATAAATAAATATAATATATTATATATATAAAATATATATATAAAATATATATAAAATATATTATATATATAAAATATATATATAAAATATATATAAAATATATTATATATATAAAATATATATAAAATATATATAAAATATATTATATATATAAAATATATATAAAATATATATAAAATATATTATATATATAAAATATATATAAAATATATTATATATATAAAATATATATAAAATATATTATATATATAAAATATATATAAAATATATATAAAATATATTATATATATAAAATATATATAAAATATATATAAAATATATTATATATATAATATATAAAAATATATATAAAATATATTATATATATAAAATATATATAAAATATATATAAAATATATTATATATATAAAATATATATAAAATATATTATATATATAAAATATATATAAAATATATTATATATATAAAATATATATAAAATATATATAAAATATATTATATATATAAAATATATATAAAATATATATAAAATATATTATATATATAATATATATAAAATATATATAAAATATATTATATATATAATATATATAAAATATATATAAAATATATTATATATATAATATATTATACATATAATATATATAATACATTATACATATAATATATATAATATAATATACATATAATATATTATATATATAATATTATATATATAATATATATAATATATTATATATATATTAGGAGTTTACACGACATTGAATTTCAGATAATGAAGGACATTAACCTCTGAGACACAGGAAACATGTTGAGCCTTCTAATTACCCAAGCTTATTAACTTGGGAGAGTCTCCAGGTCATTGAGTAGGAGGAGAAACATAAATAGAGACTCACATAAAATATTAGGATTCCAGGTTAGGGTATCTGAGCAGTAGCACCATCTTTAAAACAGAAATCCCAGTCAAGTACACCTGTCCTGCCAACATCAGATAGATTAAATGAACCCAGCAAAACGCCATATATTTTGGCAATTTAGGGATTTCAGGATAACATTTAGTTACCCAGGCAGGCATGCATACAAAAATAAATAAGCAAATCCTACCACATGCATAAACAAATACTACCCACTCTATGTCCAGTGTCCCACTAACCTCCACTCCACATTGCACAAGTGGGGCTTAGATAGCAGGGAGAACTAAAGCTCCTGCTATCTTCTGTGCCATGAGTAATAAAGTCCTTTGTTTCTGATCCAGAAATCTTTCATCTTCTGCTAGCATGTAGAACAGTGTGGTGGCCAATTTGTTGGCTCAAAAGTAGGCTAAAATCTCAGAACCTGCACAATTCTTGTTAAAAAAAAAACACACACACAGAAATACGTTTTTTTACAAAAAGGCAGCATCACAATTGTAAGATAAAACACTAAAAGTACAATCAATAACAGGTCAAATTGATAAAATAAAATTAATCAACATCAAAAACTATTGCTCTTTAAAAACATTTAAAACTTGAAAAAAGCCATGTATTAAGAGACAAATATGTTCAAATCATATATCTGATAAATGATTTGAGTCCAGAATATATAAATAATTCTTAAAACTCAATAATAGAAAAATAACCCAATTTAAACAAAAACCAGTGAACTATTTAAACAGATACTTCACCAGTAGAGATATACAGATGGTAAATACATGAAAAAATGCTAAACATTATAAGTCCTTAGGAAAATAAAAATTAAGCTACAGTGAGATATAACTACATATCTACTAGAATGACAAAATACATACTATTGGCAAGGACGCAGAGGAACTGGACTCTCAAACACTGCTAGTGAAAATCTAAATTGGTACAACCACTTTGGAAAACATACACCTACCATATGATCCAGCCATTCTGTTTCTAGTATTTACCGAAGAGAAATGACAGCATATGCCCATACAGAGACTTGCACGTAGTAATTGTAACAGCTTTCTGCAATAGCCAGACTTGAAAAAATCCAGATTCCCATTAACAGGTGAAGAGAAAAACAAATTGTAGCATATCTATGTAATGGTTAAATAAAATAGAATGAAATACTGAAACAACAATAGAAAGCAATACATTATTTAGATTTGCCTATAGCATGAATTAATCTCAATATAATTATGTTGCATGAAATATACCATTATCAAAATAATTAAAAGCATATACTGCATGATTCCACTTTAAACAAATTGTAGTGTAAATAACAGAAAGTCGATTAACAGATAGTCTGAAGTGTCTAAAAAGTTTGTGAAGCCTTACTATTTGTAAAACAGAATTCCCAGTCAAGTACACCTGTCCTACCAACATCAGATAGATTAAACGAACCCAGTAAAAGGTCATCATATTTTGGCAATTTAGAGATTTTAGGATAAAAGTCAGTTACCCAGGCAGGCACACATGCATAAATAAATAAGGAAATCCTACCAGAGAAGACAAACCTAAAAACATAGAAGTCCCAGCCAGGTTTTTGGAATTCTTATTTTAAATAGGAATGTACAGTCATAGTTGACAAGACTTTGAGGAAAATATTAAAAAGAAAAAAGAACATAAAGCCAAAACAAAATGATTGTGGAATAATTAAAGAAATAAAGCCAGAAACAGAATTACATTTAGAAATTTCTGACTAGTATATGCAGAAAATGATGTAAAAAAGTGTTTTTGTCCATAAATAAGATTAAGGTAATTTAGTGAAGAAACACAAAGAAAACAAGATTAATCTCTTAAAAACCAATATGGAAATGCAAATAAAAATCAGTAACACAAAAGTATACAAAAACTTAAACAAGAAGAGCAAATAGTATATGTTTAGAGCACGAACGCAGGGGATCCTACTTTCTAGTGAAAACGATCAAACTACGGAGAGGAGAATATTATTAAACGAATAATAAAGAAAATGTCTTCAGCGCTTAAGACTACAACCCTCCAGATTTATCAGTAAAGGAAAAACAAAACTAAAGTAAACTTGACATAGGTAAATATTATCCTGAAATACTACTACAGAGGTAAAAGGAAGATTGCTATATCTAATGCTTGATTCAAAATCCCTATATCAATTTATATTTTCATTTAGTCCTTAGATTATTTCTTTTGTGTATTTTTTAAACTGGATATTTAGATGTTAAAGTTTTTAGAAGATAGACTTATTGAAGTTTAATATCTATACCATAAAAATATCAATTTTCAGTATTTAATTTTCAAATTTTATTAAATTTTGTTTATATTAAATAAAAACTATATAAAATGGGGAAGTATATCAATATTAGTGTAGGGGTAGTTATAATCAGGGTCACTGATTATTTCTTCTGCCAGGTCACATTTACTGTTGAGCCTCTGAGGTGATATTTTCATTTCATTTATTAAATTTTGAAAGTAAATGTTTTAAAATGTATTTACAGTTATGGAACAATCAACACTAATTTTAAAACAGTTTCAGTGCCCCAAAAATAAATGAAGTCCCACTAGAAGTTACTCCTTATTCTTCCCCACTTCCCCTACACTAACATTGATCTACTTTGTCTTTCTAAACAGTGGCCTATTCTAGATATTTCATGCAAATGAAATTAGACAATATGTGGTCTTTTATGCCTGACATCTTTCATTTATATAGTATGTTTTAGAGATTCACTCATATTGTAGTTAGTATCAATACTTTATTATTTTCATTTTTGATTATATTCCATCGTATGGATATAACAAACTTTGTTCATTCATTCATTTTAGACAATTGGATAGTTTCCACTATTTGGCCATTATGAAAAATGGTACTCTGAATATTTGTGTGGGGGTTTGATATGTATATATTTGTGTTTATTGCTTTTGGATAGATACTTAAGACTGGAATCATTGAGACATATAATAATTTAATTTTTAACATTTTGAGAAACTGTCAAACTATTTTACAAAGTGACTGTCCATTTCCAAAAGAGGAGAAAAGTGAAAAAATACGTTATTATGCTGTCTTTTATGGTTATCTCTTCCTACATGGTGTAGATTAGAATTACTATTTGGGGTCACTTCCTTTCAGCTCAAAAAAAAATCCTTTGGAATTTCTAGTGATGTAGGTCTTCTTGCAAAAGTATGCACTGTGTTTGTTCTTCTAGAAATGATCTTATTTTTCCTTGATTTTGGAAGAAGAGTTTCGCTGGATAGAGGATTTTTGGTTGACTATTATTTTTCTTCCAATACTTTCAACACATAATCCATTGCCTTCTGGGCTCTATTGTTTCTCATGAGAAGTGATGAGAAAGAGCTTTTAATATTATCATGGTTCTCTTTTGGTTACTCTTTTATCTTGTTGCTTCTAAGATTTTTCTTTTATGTGGGAGGTTCCAACAATTTGACTATGATGCATCTGTATATGGATCGTTTCTTGATGATGCTTAGAGGGTTTTTTTAAACTGTTTTAAATGTGTAGAAATTTTTAAAGCAAATTTGGGATGTTTTGGGCATTTTTCATGAAATGTTTTTTCTTCCCCATTCTCTCTCCTCTCTGTATGGTGTGACCATTAAGTACATATTGATGCATTTCATGCTGTGCTACATTTGTCCTGGGCTTTGTTCAGTTATCTTTCTTTTTCAGATTGTATAATTTTTACCGATATTTCTTCAAGGTCACTGATTATTTCATCTACCAGCTCCACATCTACCTTTGAGGCTCTGCAGTGAAATTTTCACTTCACTTATTATACTTTTCAAATACAGAGTTTTTGTTTGTAGTTTTAAATTTCTTTCTCTTTATTGATATTCTCTATTTGGTAAGACTTTCCTTTAATTATTTAAAAATAGTTTACTTTGTTTATATGGCAATGAATGATAACTTCTGTGAAATCTTTTTCTGCTAAGTTTAACTTCTGAACTCCCTCAAAAAGCAGTACCTATTCCTTGCTTCTTTCCCGTATATGGGTCATACTTTCTCTTTTCTGGCATGTCACATTTTTTTTTTTAACTGAACATAGTATAAAATACATTGTAGCAACTCTGAACTCTGACTCCTCACTCCTCAGGTTTTGCTGTTACTGGTCATTTTGTTCCGTTGTGTATTTGTTCAATGACTTGGAAGGACTGAATTCTGTGATATCTATATTCCCCACAGTGTGCAAGCTCTGATGCCCATGCTTTATTTTCCTTTGTTTTCATTTTTAACCTGGGCTTCTTAGAATTCATCACGAGATCAACATAGCTTAATAATCAACCACTTGTCTTTCACATACTGTTCGTAAGCACCTAAGCCAATACATTTTTCACACTTTTTCCACTGAGTCTCTGTGTGAACTGGGGACTGATTTCAAATTTTAAGGAGTTTACAAGTCTGTTCCATGTTCATCCAGAGATGAGTAGCTTGGATGTACTTTCATTATGCACTTCTAGAATGGTGCAGGAAATTTTAGAAAGTATAATAATCAAGTTAAAGATTTTAAATTCATTTACCTACAGTCACACATGCCTAAACACCACTTAGAAAATATCCCCATATTAATGGAATATTTTAAACTCATTTTGGACACCGATTATTTAGGGAATGTAGAGAAATCTAGTATCATGCATAATTTTACAAAAATTATAACATTTTCATAACACTAATTTTTTAATTGGAATTTTCTGTTTAATAAATCACTTTTAGAAATGCATCCATCAGAAATGACAAATGAACAAAAGAAAGGGGAAACAAACAAGAAGATATATTATAAAATTATTTATAATATATACAAATAGGTGATTGGAAAATTCAATCAAGTTAGTTTTGCCAGTGAACATTGTCTTCAAAAGTCTGCAAATTGATTGAGACTGGAATCTGGCTACTTCTCATCCTTAGTTGATGGAATAGGAAACTGTGAGTTTTTTCCGTTCAAATAATTATCTGGAGAGTCATCTAAGCTCTGTAGGTATCCGTACTGCAGTTTGATCCTTTTTATTGCTGAGCCGTATTCTATGGTATGACTGTACCACCATTTGTTTAATCAATTACCTTGTGAAAACATCTGAGTTGTTATTGATTTGGACTATTAAGAGATAAAGTTGCTGTAGATATGTGTCTATAAGATTTTGTGTCAGTGAAACTTTTTATTTTTGTGTGATCAATGCCTAGCAACACAATTTCTTGGTCTTATATTAATTGAATATTTAGTTTTATAAGAAACCACCACACTATTTTCTCAAGTGGCTTATCATTTTACATTTACACAAATAATGAATAAATGACCTAGTTTTTCTGCATCTTTACCAGCAGTTGGTCTTGTTGCTATTTCTGCTTTTAAACTTAGCCATCCAGATATAGCTATATCTTATTTTGGTTTAAATTTGCACTTATCTAATGGCTAAAAATGTTGAACATATTTTTATGTGCTTATTTGCCATTTAGCACAATTTATGTGCTCATTTGGTGAAACGTTTCTTCATGTATTTTTCACCATTTTCTTTGCTTCTTTATAAAGTAATAAGAATTTATGTTTAAATCATATGAAACCTTTATCGAGACTTCCAAAAGCTTTACATGTAGTCAAAGATGGTATCATTATTCAGGTTACTTTTATATGCCTTTGTGAAAAATGTTTTCAAGGACAGTTTACAAGATATATTAGAAATCAGTCTTGTTATGATACATTCGCACGTCATTTTTACATTGAAAACAGTGTCACAACAACTTATTTATTGATTTGAATGTAAATAACTTATTCATTTCACCTGGTACCAAATAACTCCACACAATTTCTGCACAAATCTACTTTCAAAGCGAAAAGATTCATTATTATGAAGAACATTCAGAGATTGCCCTATGACAGGTTATTGAAGAAAGATACCAGAGGAGAATTTTTAAACGTTCTAAGCCATAGCAGAAATCTTTCAAAAGTGAATTTTATATTTTATACTGATAAATTTTATATTCTGGTATATCTGTTTTATTTATTTTTATTTTTATTTATGTATTTATTTAGTTTTGTACTTCATGGTTATTTTTATTGACACAACAGAACCTCAACTTCCACTGCTTGGTTAGGCAGCCATTTTTTAAAAAGCAGTTAAGAAATAATAATTAAAAGAACTAAAATAATTATGTGCATAAAATATGCTGTCTATGCATTTAAATACATGCAGGATTGTCCTCTTTTGTGATCCATTTCAAATCCCAAATGTCTCATTTTATTTATTTATTTGTTTATTTATTTTTATTTTATGATTTTTTAAAATTTTTTTATTTTTTTTCTCTTTATTTCTTCTAAAAACAAAATCCAGGATACATGTGCAGAATGTGCAGGTTTGTTACACAGGTATACATGTGCCATGGTGATTTGCTGTACCTACTGACTCATCCTCTAAGTTCCCTCCCTTCATCACCCTATGTCCCAATAGGCCCTGGTTGTGTTGTTCCCCTCTCTGTGTCCATGTGTTCTCATTGTTCAACTCCCTTATGTGAGTGAGAACATACAGTGTTTGGTTTTCTGTTCCTGTGCTAGTTTTCTGAGAATAATGGCTTCCAGGTTCATCTATGTCCCTGAAAGGATATGATCTCATTCCTTTTCATGGCTGCATAGTATTCCATCACATATATGTTCCACATTTTCTTTATCCAGTCTATGATTGATGGGCATTTGGGTTGGTTTCATGTCTGTGCTATTGCAAATAGTGCTGCAATAAACATACATGTGCATGTGTCTTCATAGTAGAATGATTTATATTCTTTTGGGTATATACCCAGTAATGGGATTGCTGAGTCAAATGATATTTCTGGTTCTAGATCCTTGATGAATCCCCATACTGTCTTCCACCAACAGTGTAAAAGCATTCCTATTTCTCCACAGTCTCACCAGCATCTATTGTTTCCTGACATTTTAATAATCACCCTTCTAACTGGCATGAGATGGTATCTCATTGTGGTTTTCATTTGCATTTCTCTGATGATCAGTGATGTTGAGCTTTTTTTCATATGTTTCTTGACCATGTAAATGTCTTTTTTGAGCAGTGTTTGCTCATATCCTTTGCCCATTTTTTGATGAAGTTGTTTGATTTTTTTTCTTGTAAATATGCTTAAGTTCCTTGTAAATTCTGGATATTAGACCTTTGACAGAGGGGTAGGTTACAAAAATTTTCTCCCATTCTCTAGGTTGCCTGCTCACTCTGATGATAGTTTCTTTGGCTGTGCAGAAGCTCCTTAATTAGATCCCATTTGTCAATTTTGGCTTCTGTTGTAATTGCTTTTGGCATTTTTGTCATGAAGTCTTTGCTGATGCCTAAGTCTTGAATGATATTGCCTAGGTTTTCTTCTAGGGCCTTTCTGGCTTTGTGTTTTATATTTAAATCTTTAATCCATCTTGAGTTAATTTTTATATAAGGTGTAAGGAAGGGGTCCAGTTTCAGTTTTCTGTATATGGCTAGCTAGTTTTCCCAGCACCATTTACCGAACAGGAGATCCTTTTCCCATTGCTTGTTTTTGTTAGGTTTGTCAAAGATAATATTTAGTGTGCCTATTATGGCTATGTCATGCACTTTTGAAACAAGCAAGAAACAAGACAGCTGTGATGTCATTTTGTTTTCTATGTTTTTCACCTTATTGTTTTCTTTTGTCTTCATTGCTGAGAATTGCTTAAGCATGTTTTACCATTCCATTTTGAAATATGTATTGTGTTTATGTGTGTATAGCAGTATTATTTTTATAGTGATTGATCTCTGTATTAAATTGTGTATTTATATAACTATGTATATATATATATATAAAAAACTGTGTACACACACACACACACAAACACCAACACCCTATCATCATCTACTAGTGTCATCATTTTATCTGTTCAAGTGAATTGTAAAATGTTACTTCCTTTTAAATATCTATGCAAGGCTGAAAATAGAGGGATTTAGAAAACAAAAATCTACCAAGCAAATGGAAAACAGTAAAGAGAAGGATTGCAATCCTAGTTCCTAACAAAACAGACTTTAAACCAACAAAGAACAAAAAAGACAAAGAAGGTCATTATATAATGGTAGAGGGTTCCATTAATCAAGAAGACCTAACTACCCTAAATCTATATGCGTCCTACACAGGGGAACCCAGTATAATAAAGCAAGTTCTTAGAGACCTTCAAAGAGACTTATACTCCCACACAATAATAATGGGAGACTTTAACACCCCGTAGATAATATTAGACAGATAACTGAGAAAAAAATTAACAACTATATTAAGGACCTGAAGTCAGCACTGGATCAAAAGGACCTGATGAACATTTACAGAATTCTCCACCCAAAACAACAGAATATACGTTCTTCTCATTGCAACATGGTACATACCCTAAAATTGATCACACAATCAGAAGTAAAACACTACTCAGAAAATACAAAAGAACTGAAATAACAGCAAACACTCTCTCAGATCACAGTGCATTCAAATTAGAAATCAAGACTAAGAAATTTACTAAAAGCCATACAATTACATGAAAAGTGAATAACCTGCTCCTGAATGACTTACGGGTAAATAATTAAATTAAAGTAGAAATCAAGAAGTTCCTTGCAACTAATAAGAACAAAGATACATTACGTACCAGAATTTCTTGGACACAGCTAAGGGAGTGTTACGAGGGAAATTTATAGCACTAAATGCCCAGATCCAAAAGTTAAAAAAATCCCATGTTAACAACCTAACATCAGAACTAAAAGATTAAGAGAACAAAGAGCAAACAAATCCTAAAACTAGCAGAAGACATGAAATAACCAAAATCAGAGCTGAAATAAAGACTGAAACAGGAAAAAAAAAAAAACCATTCAAAAGATCAACAAATCCAGGAGCTGTTTTTTGACAATATTATTAAAATCAATAGATTGTTAGCTAGACTGATAAAAAATAAAAGAGGGAAGATTAGAATAAACATAATTAGAAATTACACAGAGGATATCACCACTGAACCCACAAAAATACAAAAAGCCATCATATAATATTATAAACACCTTTATGCACAAAAATTAGAAAATCTAGAAGAAATGGATGAGATCCTGGAAAGATACACCCTTCCAAGACTGAACCAGGAAGAAATTGAATCCCAAAACAGACCAATAACAAGCTCTAAAATTGAAGCAGTAATAAATAGCCTACTAACCAAAAATGCCCAGGACCAGATGAATTCACTGCTGAATTCTATCAGATGTACAAAGAAGAACTATTCCTATTGAAACTATTTGAAAATGTTCAGGAGGAGGGGTTCCTTCCTAACTCACTCTGTGAGGCCAGTATTATCCTGATACCAAACAAAGCAGAGATACATCTTAAAAAGAAGACAGGCCAATATTTCTGATGAACATTGATGCAAATATCCTCAACAAAATACTGGCAAGCTGATTCCAGCAGCACATTAAAAAACTTATCCACCATGATGAAGTAGGCTTTATCCCTGGAACGCAAGGTTGACAACTTATGCAAATCAATAAATGTGATTCATCACTTAAACAGAACTAAAGACAAAAACCAAATGATTATCTTAATAGATGCAGAAAAGATTTTAGATAAAATTCAACTTCCATTCATGTTAAAAACTCTCAATAAACTCGGTATTAAAGGAAGATACCTCAAAATAATAAGAGCCAAATATGACAAACCCACAGCCAATATCATACTCAATAGGCAAAAGCTGGAAGCATTCCCTTTGAAAACAGGCACAAGAAAAGAATGGCCTCTCTCACCACTTCTATTCAACATAGTACTGCATGTCCTGGCCAGGGCAATCAGGCAAGAAAAAGAAATAAAGGGCATCCAATTAGAAATAGAGGCAAGTCAAACTATTCCTGTTTGCAGGCGGCATGATCCTATAACTAGAAAACCCCCGAGTCGTCCGGGCACAGTGGCTCAAGCCTGTAATCGCATCACTTTGGGAGGCCAAGGTGGGCGGATCACGAGGTCAGGAGATCCAGACCATCCTGGCTAACACGGTGTAACCCCGTCTCTACTAAAAATACAAAAAAATTAGCCGGGCGTGGTGGCGTGCGCCTTTAGACCCAGCTACTCGGGAGGCTGAGGCAGGAGAATGGCGTGAACCCGGGAGGCGGAGCTTGCAGTGAGCCAAGATCGCGCCACTGCACTCCAGCCTGGGCGACAGAGCAAGACTCCGTCTCAAAAAAAAAAAAAAAGAAAAAAGAAAACCCAGTCTCAGCCCAAAAGCTTCTTAAGCTGATAAACAACTTCATCAAAGTCTCAGGATACAAAATCAAAGCAAAAATAACGCTAGCATTTCTATACATCAACAGCAGTCAAACTGAGAGCCAAATCAGGAACAAACTCCCATTCACTATTGTCACAAAAAGAATAAAATACTTAGGGATACAGCTAACATGGGAAGTGAAAAATTGCTACAAGGAGAACTACAAACCACTGCTCAAAGAAATCAGAAAAGACAAAAATAAATGGGAAAACATACCTTACTCCAGGAAAGGAAGAATCAACATTGTCAAAATGGCCATACTGCCCAAAGCGATTTATATATTTAATATATACCTATTAAACTACCATTGAGATTCTTCACAGAACTTAAAAAAAAAAAAGTTTTAATTTATATGGAACCAAAAAAGAGCCCGAATAGCCAAGGCAATTCTAAGCAAAAAGAGCAAAGCTGGAGGAATCACACTACCAGACTTCAAACTATACTATAGGGCTACAGTAATCATAACAGCATGGTACTAGTATAAAAACAGACATATAGACCAAGGGAACAGAATAGAGAACCCAGAAATAAGATTACACAGTTACAACTGTCTGGTCCTTGACAAACCTGACAAAAGCAAGCAATAGGGAGAGGACTCTTTATTCAATAAATGGTGCTAGAATGACTGGCCAGCAATATGCAAAAGATTGAAACTGGACCCCTTCCTTATATCATATACAAAAATTAACTCAAGATGGATTTAAGACTTAAATGTAAAACCCAAAACTATAAAAACCCTGTAAGACAACCTAGGCAATACCATTCAAGAAATAGGCAAAGGCAAAAATTTCAGGATGAAGACGCCAAAAGCAATCACAATAAAAGTAAAAATTGACCATCGGGATCTAACTAAAGTAATGAGCTTCTGCACAGAAAAGGAAACTATCAACAGTGTAAACAGATAACCTACAGAAGGAGAGAAAGGTTTTGTAAACTATGCATCCAACAAGGTCAAATATCCAGCATCTGTAAGGAATTTAAACAAATGTGCAAGAAAAAAACAAACAAACCCATACAAATATGGAAAAACGACATGAACAGACACTTTTTAAGAAGACAAACTAGGGCCCAACAATTATATTAAAAAACCCTCAACATCACCAATCATTATCAACATTACAGTAAGCCATCTCACACCAACCAGAATGGCTATTATTAAAAAATCAAAATATTACAGATGTTAGCAAGGTTGTGGAGAGAAATAAACACTTAACACTGTTGGTGGGAGTGTAAATTAGTTCAACCATTTTAGAAGACAGTGTGACAATTCCTGAAAGACCTAAAGAGAGAAATACTATTTGATTCAGCAATCCCAATACTGGGTATATACGAAAAGGAGTATAAATTATCGTATTATAAAGACACATGCACATGTATGTTCATTACAGCACTATTCATAATAGCAAAGACATGGAATCAACCTAAATGCCCATCATTAGTAGACTGGATAAAGAAAATGTGGTACATATACACTATGGAATACGATGCAGTCATAAAGAATGAGATCATGTCCTTTGTGGGGACATAGATGGAGCCGGGGGTGATTATCCTTAGCAAACTGACACAGGAACAGAAAAACAAATACTGCCTGTTCTCACTTATAAGAGGAAGCTAAATGATGAAAACACATGGACACGTAGAGGGGAACAACACACATTGGGGCATTTCTGGGGGTGGAGGTCAGGAGGAAGGAGAGGATCAGGAAAAATAACTGATGAATATTAGACTTAATACCTGGCCAATGAAATAATCTGTACAACAAACCCCCATGACACAAATTTACCTATATAACAAACTTGAACATGTACCCCCAAATGTAAAGTTAGAAAAAACTCTATGCATTTCACCATTTGTAAAATAAATTATATTAAATATTTCCTTTATATACATTTAAACCACATCAGATGGTGTTATAATGTTTGCCTCACCATCAAATATAATTTAGAAACCTCAAGAGAGGAAGGAACATTCATTGTATTTATCCATACTTGCATTTATAGTTGACTTTTAAACAACACAAAGGTTGGGGTGTCACTCCTCTGCATGGATCACATATAACTTTAGAATCCTTAAAAACTTAACTGTTAATAGCCTGCTGTTGACCAGAGCCTTGTGGATAGCATAGTCCATTAACATATATTTTGTATATTATATCTATAAAGTATTCTTACAGTAAGGTAAGCTACAGAAAAGAAAATGTTCTCAAGAAAATCATAAAGAAGAAAAAAATATATTTTCTATCCTTAAGTGAGGATCATCACAAAGCTCTTCACCCTCACCATCTTCATGTTGTGTATGTGGAGAAGGAAGAGGGGGATTTTGTCTTGCTGTCTTAGCTGTGGCAGAGGCAGAAGAGAACAAAGAGGTGGAAGAGAATTCAGGAGGGGCAGGCCCACTCAATGTAACTTTATAGAGATGTACCATTATTTCTGTCTGACATTTTTGCTTGTTAATTTCTTTAAAAATGTTTATATATGATAACAATCTGTCTTCTATTATTTGCTTTAGTTTCAGTCCCCATATCATCGAAGAGCCCATGCATGAAATAAGTTACAAACAGTCCTGGATAATAGGAGACCTTCTGCCAGATTATCTAATGACAAATTGTTTCCTGTCACTACTTTTTGATACAGCTGCTTCTTTATTGTCTGGCACTGGTTTGGAAACACACATCTCAATCATTCGTCTTCTGTTACTTCCTCTGATGTTGGACTAGTAGCCTTGAATGTATCCAAGATACATTTCACCCCCTCTCACTTTATCACTATATCTACAATCTCTTCAAAGATTTCTTTGGTTGACTCCATTACAAATCTGTGAAGTCATGCACAACATGTAGACAAAGTTTTTACTAACAGGAATATATTATTTTCAGCTTCATGGCTTTCTTGGTGTTTTCTATAACAATGATGGCATCTTCAATGGTTTAATCCTTCCTTTATGATATTTACTCTATCAGGGTTCTCTTTCATATTGCTGACAATTCTTTTTTTTCTTTCTTTCTTTGAGGCGGAGTTTTGCTCTTTTTGCCCAGACTAGACTGAAGTGGTGCGATCTTGGCTCACAGCAACTTCTGCCCCCGCAGGGTTCAAGCAATTCTCCTGCCTTAGCCTCACCAGTAGCTGGGATTACAGGCATGCACCATCATGCCTGGCTAATTTTCTGTATTTTTAGTAGAGATGGGGTTTCACCATGTTGTCCAGGCTGGTCTCGAACTCCTGACATCAGGTGATCCACCCACCTTGGCCTCCCAAAGTTCTGGAATTACAGGCATGAGCCACCGCATCTGACCTTCCAACAATTGTTTCCATAGACTACCATGTGTAATGAGCTTTAAAGGTCCTTATAACCCCCTGATCTAGAGGCTGAATTAGAAATGCTATGTTTGGGGGCAATTAGACCACTTCAATAACTTTTATTTTTAACTCATGGGGTTCTGAGTGACCAGGGCCATTGTCCATATCAAAAACAAATTTAGAAAACAGTTTCTTACCGGCAAGGTACTTCTGGACTTCAGGGACAAAACACCAATGAAATCAATCCAGAAAAAGTGTTCTTGTTGTCCAAGCCTTCTTCTCATACAATACAATGACTGGAAGCTGGTGTTTATATTTTCCCTTCAAGGCTCAGGGGTTAACAACTTTACAGATAAGGACAGTTCTTACCATAAACCCAAGTGCATTTTCACAAAACAAGTATTGTTAGCATATCCCTTCCTACCTTAAATCCTTGTGCTTGCTTCTCTTTCTTAGCAATAGATGTCCTTTGTGGCATTTTTTTTTTCCAAAATAAGGCACTTTCATCTGCATTAATAACCCGTTCAAGTAGGTATCTGTCTTATTAGTCAGGGTTCTCCAGAGGGACAGAACTAATAGGATTAATGTAAATATGAAAGGGAGTTTATTAAGGAGAATTGACACTCAATCACAAGATGAAGTCCCATGATAGGTTGTCTGCAAGCTGAGTAGGAAGGAAGCCAGTAGTGACTTAGTCTGAGTACAAAAGCCTCAAAAGTAAGCAAGCTAACAGTGCAGCCTTCAGTCTGTGGCCAAAGGCCTGAGAGCCTCCAGCAAACCACTGATTTAAGTCCAAGAGCCCAAAGGCCAAAGAACCTAGAGTCTGACGTCCAAAGGCAGGAAGCGTCCAGCACGGAAGAAAGAAGAGTCAGCAAGCCAGTTTATCCCACCTTCTTCCACCTTCTTCCAGCTGCACTGGCAGCTGATTGGATGGTGCCCACCCACATTGAGGGTGGGTCTTCCTCTCCCAGTCCACTGACTCAAATGTTAATCTCCTCTGGCAACACCCTCACAGACACACTCAGAAACAATACTCCACCAGCTCTCTAGGCATTCTTCAATCCAATCAAGTTGATACCTAATATTAACCTCACAGGATCCTGTAGCCTCAGGGATTTTCTTAACGGTGTCTGTGAACTCACTGCTGCCTCTTGGTTGACAGAAGGGACTTTTCCTGTTTTGTTGATATTTTATTAAGCCAAACTTCTTTCTGAAATTATCAAACCGTCTTTTGCTAGCATTAAATTCTCCAGCTTAGCTCCTTCATCTTTCTTTTGCTTTGTTATATAATTACTTTACTTTTTATTTAATTATATTAGAGTCTATGTATGCCTTTCATAGAGCAATCTGCACATCATAAAAGCTGCACTTTCAGTACGAGATAGACAAAAAGGTATTACACAAAAAGTCCAGAGTTTTTCCACCTGCTGGCATAGCTTCAGTGATGGCTTCACAAATTTCCTTTTCTTTTCTCACAGTGGTCCCTGGGCTGGATTCATTTATCTTGAAATGGTAAGCAACTGCAGCTGAAGACCTCAATCTATGATACACACCAAGCAATTCAACTATTTCTTGTAATGTCTTGACTTTGGTCTGCTTATTGGGAGCACCCCAAGCATCACTAATTGCACTTCATATAGGGCCCCCCGGTATTCTTCAAAGTTTATGCTATTGAACTAAATATAATGAGAAATGAGAGAGAATCATGAGATATCACTTTTTATTGCAATATGAAATTTATTAGAGAGAAGAAATGTTCACAGGGAGATGATTAGTGTCATGTAACATTTAAACAAATATTCACAACATGCTTGAGCTCATTGCAATAGCAACATGAAGTCACAACAAAATTATTATAGTAGTACAGTATGAACTACAGTTAACTTTTATAGTTTTCATTTAATATCCCATATTTACATTTGGTTGCATTTATCTTATCTGTTAATGGAATCATGTATGTTTTGTAAGCGTTTGTGTACATAATCTTTGAAAAGTTTTTTCTTCATGTAACAGATTTGTGTATATTTCATGGTAAGAAATGACAAAATAGACTGGTATCTACATATATTTTATGCATCATGACACAACTTTTTTCTTAATTTTTCATACTTTTTGGCTACATGGTTTGTGAGTTTTTAAAAATTGTTTCAAATCTCAAAAAGAATTTATTTACTGAAAAAAAATATATGTGTATAAGCAAACCCACGCCATGTTGTTCAATGGTCAACTATACTGTGTTCTTTCTTCTTCCTTTATATTCTAAGTTTTCTTTCTGTTTGGAGAACTTTTTTTAGATATTCTTTTGGTTACATAATTTGCAACCATTTATTAGTTTTTCTTGATCTGAGCATATCTTGATACTCCCTTCATTTTAAGGGATATTTTGCTGGGTGTAAGATTCTGGGTTCACAGTCTTTTCTTTCGGTCATTGAAAATGACTGCCTCTCCTTTTTAGATCCCATGGTTTCTGATAAGAAATGCAATCATTCTAATTATTTCCCTCTTATATGTAAGGTATCCTTACTCTCTCACTGCTCTCGAAAATTTCCTTTAGAGTTCAGTTTTGAGAACTTTGACTATAATTTATCTTAGTGCAAGTTTTGTTGAGATTTACTAGACATCTGGAAACTATTGATATATGTCTTTTGTCAAAAGTGGAAAGTTTTCAGACATTATTTTCTCATGTGCTCTGTCAGCTCTACTTTCCTCTTTGCCATCCATAACTCTGGTTACGTGAATGTTGGATCTTTGGTTACAATCTCACAGGTCTCTGAACATTTTTCTTTCAGTTATTCTATCTCTGTTTTCAGGTTTGCTAATTTCTATTGCTCTTTCATCTCATTCTTTCTTTTCCGTGTCACATTAATTTTGTTATTGAGCTCGTCCATTGAGCTTTATTTATTTATTATATTTTTCAGTTTCAAAATTTGTATTTAGTTCTTCCTTATATTCTCTATTTCTTTGCTTAAACTTTCTCTTTTTTGTTGAGTCTTTTTATTAGTTTGTGTCAAGAATATCTATGAAATCTCATTGAAACGTTGTTATGGCTACTTTAAATCTTTGTTATATAATTCTAATATCTCTGTATCCTCCATGTTATCATCTATTGATTATATGTTTTGAATTCAGCTTGAGACCTTCTTTATTCTTGGTATTATGATTCTTTTTTTTTTACTTAAAAGCTGGACATTGTGAATATTATGTTATGCAACTGAAATCATTTTTAAACCTTCTGATTCATCTGTCTTGGCAGAAAAAAATGGAGGCCACCTCCTTACTTCTAGATGATGATGAAAGTCCAAGCTTCTTATTGAGCCTTGTTAAAATCTGAGGGGGAATTTCCTTTTTACTACTGGGTGGAAATGGGACTTCCGGTTTCCTTCTAGGCCTCCCCTGATATCTTCCTGGCTCGGAGGGATTGCTGTGCCAAGTTATTGCTCCCCATGTGACCTGAACTGACATTGTGGCAGAGGTTGGCCTCATTAATGATGTACACAGTGAAAGTCCTTACTTTCCAGTAGTATTTTTCTGATACCACCTTAGCAGGGATAAAGACAGGAGCCTTAATTCTGCTGTATTGAGATGAGGTCCAGGCCAGAGATTACTCCTCAAAGACTAAGGCTAGAAGATACCAGAAGACACTATTTATCCAGATATAAGTGTCTATTTTTTCTTAAGAGAGGAGAGCAAGTTTAAATATTAAATAATATAATATAAACATTTTTATTTCATTTCTATGAAAGCAGTTATATAAACATATTCACAGTGCTTGTTTCCTTGGATGGGTGGATGGCATTACCAGAAATATTAATTTAAGTGGAATTCTTTTCATATTTGATTTTTAATATACTAATGAACAGGTGCTCAATTTGTGTTCAGGAAAAAAAAACAAGCAGTGACAACCAAAATAAAATAACTTTTACACACACACACACACACACACACACACACACACACAATTTTTTGAACGTCTTTTCCATAATTACTATAGAGAAAGAAAAAAATAAATTTTAAAGTTTGAATGTGAATATGCCTATTGTTCAGCAAGAATTAATTAATTTATAATTTAGGCAAATCTGACATCACTAGATTGCAATTTTATATCTGTTACTAAGCATAAAGAAAAATATTGTTATCTGAAAGGTTACTTTCTAAGTGATGCTGTCCCTGTTCAGTCTATTTAAAATCGTAGCATCTATGCATTTGTGTATTCCCACCCTCCTAACTTTTCCTCGTCATGAAAACTACATAACATTTTACTTATTTTTGCAATTATCTGTACTTCCTGACTCTAGTGTAACCTCCATGAAAGAGAAATGCAAATGAAGTGAATAAACACTTAACAACAGCATTTAAAAATGTCTATTTTCAAACACACGATTTCATGTGAATGTGTTCTATTCTATAAATTAGGGGAAATAAATCTCTATTTGGCAAAATTATATTCTAATTTGGCTTTATTTTTATTTTATTTTATTTTATTTTATTTTAATGTTTATGTTGCTTTTCTATAATTATAATTGAATAGCCTGTATTAGTCCATTCTCATGCTGCTATGAAGACATACCTGAGACTGGGTATTTTATAAAGAAAGGTGGTTTAATTTACTCACAGTTACACATGGCTAAGGAGGCCTCAGGAAACTTCCAATCAAGTCAGAAGGTGAAACAGGTATGTCTTACATGGCAGCAGGTGAGAGAAATGAGTGCCAAGTGAAGGGGGAAGCCCCTAATAAAACCATCAGATCTCATGAGAACTCACTCACTATCACAAGAACAGCATGAGGTTACCCAACCCCATGATTAAATTACTTCCCACTGGTCCCTCCCACAACATGTGGGGATTTATGGAACTATAGTTCAAGATGAGATTTGAGTGAGGACGCAGCCAAACCATATCATTCTGACTCCAGCTTCTCCCAAATCTCATGTCTTTACATTTCAAAACACAATCATGCCCTTCTAACAGTCCTCCAATAAATACACCCGTTACAAATGGGATAAATTGGCCAAAACAAAGGGGCTACAGGCCCCATGCAAGTCTGGAATCCAATAGCGCAGTAATTAAACCTTAATTTTCTAAAATGATCTCCTTTGACTCCATGTCTCACATCCATATCACGCTGATGTAAGAGGTGGACTCTCACAGCCTTGGGCAACTCTGTCTCTGTGACTTTGCAGCATACAGCTTCCCCATCCTGGCTGGTTTCACAGGCTGGCATTGAGTGTCTGTGGCTTTTCCAGGTTCATGGTGCAAGCTGTTGGTGGACCTACCATTCTAGTGTCTGGATGATGGTGGCACTCTTCTCACAGCTCTACTAGACAGTGCCCCAGTGGGGACTCGGTGTGGGGGCTCTGATCCCACATTTCCCTTCTCCACTGCCCTAGCAGAGGTTGTTCATGAGGGCTCTGCCTGTGCAGCACACCTCTGACTGGACATCCAGGCATTTCCATCCATCCTCTGAAATCTAGGCAGAGGTTCTGAAAACTCAATTTTTGTCTTCTGTGCACCTGCAGGACCAACACCAATGTGGAAGCTGCCAAGGCTTGGGGCTTGGACCCTCTGAATCCATGGCCAGAGCTGTACCTTGGCTCCTTTTAGCCATAGCTGAGGTGGCTGGGACCCAGGGCACCAAATCCCTAGGCTTCACACAGCAAGGGGGCCCTGGATCCATCCCACAAAACCATTTTTTCTCCTAGGCCTCTGGGCCTGTGATGGGAGAGGCTGCCACAGATGTCCTTGACAGGCCCTGGCAACATTTCCCCCATTGTCTTGGCTATTAACATCTGGCTCCTTGTTACTTATGCAAATTTTTACAGCTGACTTGAATTTCTCCCCAGAAAATGGGTTTTTCTTTTCTACTAAATCATGAGGCTGCAAATTTTCTAATATTTTGCTCTGTCACCTCTTGAATGCTTTCCTGCTTAGAAATTTTCCCACCAGATATTCTAAACCATCTCTCTCAAGTTCAAAGTTCCACAGATCTCTAGGGCAGGGCAAAATGTCACCAGTCTATTTGCATAGCCAGAGTGACTTTTACTCCGTTTCCCAACAAGTTCCTCATCTCCATCTGAGACCACCTTACCCTGGACCTTACTGTCCATGTCACTATCAGCATTTTGGTCACAGCCATTCAACAAGTCTCTAGGAAGTTTCTAACTTTCCCACATCTTTCTGTCTTCTGAGTCCTCCAAGTGTTTAGAAAGTTTCAAACTTTCCCACATTTTCTTGTCTTCATCTGAGCTCTCCAAACTGTTCCAACCTCTGCCTGTTTACCCAGTTCCAAAGTTGCTTCCACATTTTTGGGTATTTTCACAGTAGCACACAACTCTACCAGTACCAATTTACTATGTTAGTTCATTCTCATGCTTCTAAAAAAGACATACCCTAAATGGGATAATTTATTTTAAAAAGAGTTTTAATTGACTCACAATTCAGCATGGCTGGGGAAACCTCAGGAAACTTACAATCATGGAGGAAGAAAAAGCAAACACATCCTTCTTCACATGGCAGCAGGAAGGGGAGGTGCAGAACGAAGTGGAGGAAAAGCTTCTTATAAAACCATCAGATCTTGTGAGAACTCACTCACTGTCATGAGAACAGCATGGAGGTAGCCACCCCCATGATTTGATTACCTCCCACCAGGTCCCTTCCATGACACGTGGGTATTATGAGAACTACAAGATGCAATTTGGGTGGGGATACAGCCAAACCATATCATAGCCCCATATTTATTACATTTAATGAAATAAAACTCTGATATAAAAAGTTGATATTTTATCATTCAAGGACAAAGCCCAAAAGGAGATTAAATAACTTCCATACTCTCACTTTCCCTTCCTATTTTATTACCTTTTTCTTCAGTATCCCTTTCAGTGTAATGATGACATATAACTTTAGATACAAATTTCTAATTATATCCTATACCTATTTTATAAATATTACAGTCATATTTTTGATGACCTTATAAATAAAAACATGGAACTCATATTCATTTTCTTCAAAACTAAGCTCATAATATTTCCTCCCAATTATCCTTTTCCCTATATTTTATTTTTGAGACATTGTTGCCTATTTCACAAATATGGTTGTCAACTTAGACTTCTCCATTTACCTCATATTCAATGTGCAGTTTCTACCAATGCATAACAATTTTATTCACAAATATCTCTTCTTTCCCCCATTCCCATTATAAGAGATTCAAGTTACTTCTTAGTTCTGCTCTGTTGCAATTCAGTAGAAGTTTAAATAATAAATTCAATCTGTGATACACCATTTTGAGATTATGCTCCATACATGTCCTCTTCTCTTATTCTTCCTGATTTCACTGAACAACTGCAAACATGGAGATAGTCCAAAGAAGAAAATGTCTGATTTGGTGGCACATCACCCTTAACAAACCCTATATAAGGGATTATCTTAGTTCTAGTTATTTGTGTTAGAGGCACATATATTATCTGTATTTGTCTATTTTAACTGTGTTTTTGCAAATCTGGGATTCTAACAGCATTTCAGATATGATTGAGAAATGTGAATGAACAAAAGGCAATATATTAATGTCAGATTTCTAGGTATGATACTTGAATGCTGTGTACATGTGGTAATGAGAAACAAAAAGAAGTTCAATATGAACTACTTTGTTTGATATATATCTATCAGGTACTTCAGTGTGTTTCTGTTTCCCAAAGGAATGTATATGATAATTAGTCTTGTGGTGAAGCACATATTTCTAAATGACTACCCTGATTCCATTGTAGGTAAAGGGAACAAATAGAAACTGTTCTTATAAAAATATGAAATACGATATTAATGGCCTAAGTTGTATACTTCCCTTGAGACCTTCACCTTTAATAACCTCCAGGATTATAGATAAAACTGAGGTAGTAATCATTACTGAAATGGATTTTCTGGCAGAATTAGACTTCACCTCCAAGAATCAATAATCATTTGAAGCTAACAGGGTGATTAAATGACCTCCTTTTTATTTTTCCTCATGTCGAGTTGCTTTTTCATCTTGATTTAGAGTCACACTGTTAGAAACAAAGATAAACTGAGGACTTAGGACATTAGAGCAGCAACTTGAGACTTATTCATTATCAAGGTTAAAGGCTCCCTTCCTTCAATCAAGGTATTTTTAGGTAATCAATGCATTCCAAAGGAAAAACTGAACACTCTAGGCGCAGACTGTATAAACACCACCATCTAAGGCTGCTTCTCCTTTTTAAAGATATGCACCATTAGCTTTGCTATGGCAGGTGCTATTTTTTTTATTTAATAATTTACCATGTCAGTGATGCTTGAGGATATCTTTGCATTGACTGATAATGATGTCATTAATTCTTTTCATCCAAGAAGTTTATCCCTCCCATCTTTTTACAGTCCAGAAAAGAACTGCCTTAAGTTGGCAGCAACTTAATTCTACTAACCAAATATTTTCTACCATATGTAGAAAATGCAGCCAATTCCCAAAAGTTTTTCATAGTTTGAATTCTCAATTACTATGTAAAGAACTCTACTGACAAAACTATTTAGTTTGTGTGTGTGTGTATGTGTGATGTGTGTATGTGTGTGTGTCCTAATATGCACTTATCACAATATGGAAAGGAAATATTAGCGTTCATGTGCAAGAAATAATTACGATTCAAAAAATAAAAAATATAGAATTCAATAAAATTCAAAGCAAACACAGTTTTATCTCTTATCCAAAGATAGATAGATAGATAGATAGATAGATAGATAGATAGATAGATAGATACACATAAAGAGAGAGAGAGAGATCTGGTGAGTGCACATGTGTATATACACACATATATGCACAAAGGAATAAAAAAGAGAGAGTCCATCTTTAGGTATATACTGTAAGTGTATTATTAACCTATTGCCCATACTTTTCTGACTCTGAACATAATAGTTTTTATGTATAACTACTTCTATCTTAAGCCTTTGTTTCTTCATAGATTGAACATGTTTCATTTCTTTAAAAGTATATTTTATGTTTGAAGTCATAACCTTGATTAATAAGATTATAACAGCAAGTTAGAAACTAACAATTATCATGCACTTTCTTTGCAAAATATTTTCAAAATATAATTTACAATTAATGAACCTCATTTCTGAAAAGCTTTTATAGAGCTACTTGGTAACTAGAAGATGATTTTCAAAATGTTGAAACTGGATATCTGAATTTTAAATACTTTTGCCACTGCCATGACAGTCATTTAGGGAAAATATTAGTCTTCTTAAATAAATTGATTTTTAAAAATATTTTTTAACACCGCTAAGTGTCCTACTGTTCCTTTTCAAGTGCAGAATGTAATTTCACTTCATTTCTACATAGTTAACAGTTTGAAAGGGAGATATTCAGCTAATACATTTACAGTTCTGTTTATTCATTCTCACATTCATTTACAAACCTTTAATACTGTCCATATAATTCTCACAAGGACACAGAGATGCTCTGTACTTCTCATAGATCCCTATCAGGGTACACATTTTATAACTTTTTGTGAAGTTAATTTTGATCAGTGTGACCAGGTATTATCAGTCCAATCCATCTACATAATATTCATTGTCAGGTTTTTACCTAAATGGTTTAGACGATCAATGCTGATTGTCTACCTGCTTTATTTATTTAGGAGTTGCAAAATAATTCTATTCTAATTCTACCATGTATTTCCCATTCACTAACTGCAATTCATTACATTATTCTAAGTATCATAAAGTGTATTTTACATAGACATTAAGGAATATGTTCTGATGTTTATTAATTATTGAGAATAATAATTGGTTCTCAAAAATGTAATAAAAGTGAGAAATATATTTTTATTTTACTTACAATTGCAGTAATATTAGCATGCTTGATATGCTTCAATCTATTGCAGTAATTATTTTTGATGCTCATATTGTCCTATCTTTGACCAGAGGCATCATTCAAAGTTTTGTTTTGTTTTATTTAATATGAGCCTAATAAGCTTTATCACTTTCATGATATCTTGTATAATGTGATGTTCCAAGCACCTCTTGCACCATTTTTACTTCAGACCTGGAATTAGTCATTTCCTCAAGGAGCTTTGATTATTATTAATACAATGTGTTTAGTGATCACAACCTGGGCACTAAAGTTTCTCCTTACTATGTTATTGTTCATTGTTTCTAGAGTTTTGATAAATGCAGCTAAGAATATATGCCTTTTTTAATAAGAGAAAAAACACATCATGGATTCATACTAATATGTCCAATTACACTTCAGAATTATCGTGTTTTGTATTATTTGATTTTATATTTATCTACATTTTATAATCTGAAAAATATTGATTTCTAATGACATTAGCTTATTTACTTATTTGACTTATCCTCATAGATGAGTGCTTATACATACAGTAGTATGCTGTTAAATGTTAAGCATTGAAAAATAAACTCCCTGGAGAAATAAAAACATCCCTGGTTTGTAGCATTTGCTTATTTCCATGGAGTAAATACACCCACTATGGTTGATTTCAGGCTGCTATCATGGCACCACTGAATGCAAAGTTCAGGAAGATGCACTGTCATGCAGGGGTCTCTAATATGTTCACCATACAGGTACAATAGATGTAAATAATCTTAAGATCACAGATGTCATAAAATAGAGTAAAGTAATTAAGAAGTGATGAATTGTTGAAAATTTATTAACCTTATTTTAAAACGAAATATATTTAGTTGTGAGGTTTTATGATTAATTTTTTAATAATAACTGCATTTAACACTGGGTTCACAAAGTTACTGAAAATTCAATGACCAGGTTTCACACAAGGTGGTACAAAGTTGGCTCAATCACACCAGTCCCTTATGTGTACATACAATACATTTATTTTGATAATACCAAAATCATTACTAAAAATAAGATTATTAAAAATAAGTTTAAAATATTTTTGCTCTTAGGATATTTGCCAATGTGTAAGCATAAATGATTGCAATTTGAAATCCCTTGAAATAATTTCTCTCTGTATACTTAGATCTTGTTAGAGACTATTTGTTTCATTTGGCTTTAAATATTAAATATTTTTATTTTATGTTTTGGTGTAATTCTGTTTAATATTGTGTAAAACTTTTGCATGCTTCTAATGACAAATGAAATATATCATCAGAGAAATTGTAATTCTATCATTTGTCCATTTACCTTATTCTCTCCCTTCATTTATTGATAGCTATAGTATTTGGATTTTATTTAGTCTTACATTTACAGTTAGACAAACATAATGTATTATTTATTTGATTTGATTAATACTAACTACAAATTTATAAGAAGTATAAAATGAATAGAGTGATATGTTAAGTGCCACTACAAACATGGAATCAAATATATTTAGAAAGTAGAAAATCCTGTGGAATAAATAGCTCACCTTCTTAATCAGTTGCAAGACAAAGAGAATAAAAGAGTTTGGGTATTGTAGATATAATGAGACTTAAGGTACATGTAAACCAAATGTAATATGTGGACCTTGTTTGGATCCTGAGTCAGTCAAAACATGAGAGAGAAACAGAGAAAGAGAGAGAAAGAAAGAGAATTCTGGGCACTTGAGCACTATTTTAACTGTTTTCTGGTATTTAGGAATTATTGTAATTCCTAAGTTTTTATTGAGAGTAAAAATAATATTGTGGCGGTGTTAAAAATAAAAGGTCTTTTTTTTTAAAGATATATAGTGAAGTTTTATGTATTTTTATAGGTATTGGTGATTACTGAACTTGAGTCACGTGTCTATGGGGGTTCAAAATACCATTCTCAGAGATACAAATAAACACAAAATGAAGTCACTATCCTCAAGAGTCTTATTACACTGGTGTAGTTTTCAGGCTTGTAAACAATTATTACACTGTTGTTATATAGACGGTTTAAAGTCTGCTACATTGTAAAGAGTAGGGAGAAACTAAATCCATCTGGGGAATTAAGAAGGGCTTTATGGAGAGAAGGGTATTAATATATGTGTAAGAATTTGGGAGTGATCAATGAAAATGAGAATATTTCACACAACAATCCTTATTTGCAGAAAAAGGAGTTTTGAAAACTCGTGACATTTTCAAAAATAGTGAATAACAGATTAAGTTTATGTTTTTTCTAGATTATATTTTTTTTGAAAACTAAAAGTACTATACTTATGATGTGGTGTAATCCTTAATTGTATTTTTTTTATATCAGTGAAGTTAAAATTTTATATGTTATTAAAATTATGAAGTATTTTTAGTTCATGAAAATTAATTATTATATTTAAAGTATGTGAGATAAATCAGCTATGTCAGGTATACAAAAAAGTAGCTACTGAAATGGCTTTCTGTGAACTAAATTATTCAAAGCTTTATTTGAAATGTAAGTTATGCATTGCAATTGTGAAAATGAACCTATAGATTGCATTAGTGGGTCATTGATGAGAATATATCAGTCCCTCTTATCCACAGAACTCATAATCATGCTAATGAGAGCATTTGACAATTTGAATATAAGTTTAATTTTTAAGAAGGATGAAACCTAAGAAGACCATATTAAGATACTTTCTAAAACACTATTAGATCAATATGCAGTACTTAACAAATTATAGGACTCTGGGGATTCTTTTCCAAATGGGAAGGTAAAGGTATATGTAATCTGAAAATGATCCCACAGTAATTTTAAAGAACTTTGCGTCCTTTACACTTACCTTGAATCCATCTAGAATCACAGACCCAATCTAAATGACAAAGGCACATACTTAAGTATGAAAATATTGTTGGGGAGAAACAGGTACAAAGTGTGTTCCAAGTTTTGACATTTTTTAAATAAAAGCATTTGATATTAAGAAAGAAGGGGGGAAAACAGGCAATGATGATTAAAGAGATGAAGAGAAAGTTAGAAAACCAAAATTATAGCATAGGAAAGAAGGATACTGAAGGGATTCAGAAAGAAGGAAAAGGAAAAATCAGAAGGAACATTAAGGACAAAGAGAGGAATATCTATTGCCCAGTCATGGCCATGGAAGTATTCATCCCCCGTCCACTAATTTTATATTTATTTTCTTTAACAAGGTTTTACCATTTTATTTTTTTCAAATTAGTTTTAAATCTCAATTTTATATATAACCATTTATAAAAACAAATAGTGCTTCCTTATGTTTCACTGGTTCCCCAATCTCGAATTCTGATTTACAGAAGCTATAGTCTATACAATTTTTCCCAACATATGCATGTTCTTCTATTTCTTTTATTTATTTATTTATTTATTTATTTTTATTATTTTGAGACGGAGTCTTACTCTCTCGCCCAGACTGGAGTGCAGTGACGCGATCTCAGCTCATCGCAACCTCTACCTCCCAGGTTCAAGTGGTTCTCCTGCCTCACCCTCCCTGGTAGCTGGGATTACAAGTGCGAGCCATCACACCCGGCTACTTTTTGTATTTTTAGTAGAGATGGGGTTTCGACATGTTGCCCAGGCAGTTCTTGAATTCCTGACCTCAAATGATCCTCTCGCTTCAGCCTCCCAAAGTGCTGGGATTACTGGCGTGAGCCACTAGTCACAGCATGTTCTTCTATTTCTTGATTTTGTGTTCTATTCAATTCTTCCATATGCTGGTAATCCATTGCTGGGTTTTTAAGATATATAGGCCTTCTAAGATGAAATAGGAAAATCTATTTTTCTTTCCACTTCTCCTCACAAACAAATATATCTTCCATATTTGACAATCTATAGATATAAATTAATAGGTAGCATGTTTTCAGTTTTTCAGTTATTAATGATTAAGAATATTGTTCAGTATGAGACATGTTTGCAATGTGGTTTTATTTCCTCCTTTTGGCTTGCTGCCCGTTTTACTTTATATATAACAACAACTTTTCTTGCAACTCTCTGGAAGTGTAAATCTATATTCCCACTCCAGAAGCCATAATATTAGTGCCTATCAGGACTTTTTTTTTTTCTGCAGGCTGGTTGTATTTTAGGATTTCCATTTGTCATTATTCACAGTATTATTTTTATCTCTCCTTACTTACCTTCCTCCCTTTTCTTGAGCACATTTATTCTTCATCTTCAGGAAAAGGACAATATAGGAGATAGCTTCGATATTTTGTGTGTCAGAAAACATCATCAGTCCACTTGCTAGCAGAACACTAAGTTACCTGCTCATAGAATTTTAGGTGGAAAATTATTTTTTTCAAGAATTTTCAAAGCATTTCCAGCCACCCTCACTGTTCCTGATACTATTGAAAATACAAAGACGTTGTCCTTCTTGGTGTTTTAGATGTAACCTTTTAGTATTCTTTCGGGGGCTGTTAAGATTATAATTTTTTATTCCTAGAGTTCTAACATTTTATAATGATGTATCTTATTGGGGGTTTTCAAACTTTCTTGTTCTAAGCAATCAGTAAAACTTTTTGAGTCTAAACATTCACATTTTCCTATTCTGATAAAAGTTTTTGACCAATTTCCTTCATAAGAAAATACATTATTTTTGCAACCCCTATTATTCAGAAGAATAGCTAGTTGACTACCCAGATTGATCTATTTTTTTCCTCTTTACTTATTTATTTTTTGTGCCTTTTTTCTTTCTCTAATGTTTCTTTAGACTTATCTTCAAAATTGTACATTTAGTTTTTAATGCATTTCCTTCAATATATAGACCAATATATATTTTACACATATCTATCTATCCATCTATCTATCTATCTATCTATCTATCTATCTATCTATCTATCGAGAGACAGAACGAGAAAGGGGCCTAGGCTTTAGCATACAATATATTGAGACTTCTCCTTTTCATTTCCTATTTGTTTTTGTCTCTGCAGACTTATGATTAATATCATTTTAACACAATTTCAAGAAAGAGTAGATCCAAAGACATACATGGAATCTATCCTTTTAAAATAACAGCCACTTCCATACATATTTTCTAATTCACTTTACTTATCCGCATTTCTTTATTTATTTTTCTTGATGTCTTATATGTCTCTTTTTAGCACTTATTTATTCCTTTCCTCTTTTCATAATGTACTTACTAACAGCATACAAAATATTTTGTGAGATTCCTACTCAAAACCTTTTTATATTGTTCATCCTACTTTTCTTATTATATATTTCTTTTACTTCTCATCTTTGTTATTTGATTTTTTAATATTTTCATTGTGGTAAATGCTATATGTACAAATGTAAAAAATTGATATGTATGATTTAAAGAAATGGTTAAATAAGTACCCATACCCTCCACAAAAATAAATAAAATGTAGCAACTACCTTAGAAGCCCACTGTGCTGCCCACTAAAATATCCCATTATTTCTTTCCCTAGAAGTTACATCGGTCCTGAGTTGTGCACATACCTCTTACTTGCAAAAATAAAATATTTGATTCGAATATTTGAACCAACGCTTTTTACAAAATGAATGAAATAAATATGTTCTTTTGTGACTTGGTCCATTCACTCAACGTAACGTTTTTGAGTTTTAATCATGCTGTTACCTTTAGCTATATTTCCTTCATTTTTTGCTGCTGAAAGAAATCCATTGTATATACATACCACAATTTCTTAATTAATTCTATGATTGTTATATATTTTTATTTCCATGTATTTGCTATTATGTAAAATATAGCTAAAACATTTCTTTTTGTGGTTCTTTATGTATATATGCAAAAAATTGAAGAGTATAAACAAAATAATAAAATACAAAGAGTTGTGAATACTCTTCTCACATTCAGAGAAATGACTGAATGATAAGAATATGAGAATTTTCCATTTAATATGCAATTACAAACCTTTACCAAAGTGACTGTATCAATTTACATTATTATCAGTTGCATAAGGCATTTCATCAATCAACCTGTTTCAGAAAATTCGATATTAATAGAATTACATTGACGGTATTGACCATAAGGGTCTCAGGCTTTTGCAGTTTCTTGTGAACCTTACTTGATTTTTTGCAGGAGTGGGAAGGAGAGGTCTACCTTTTGTCTCTTGTTCCTCATGCCTGATGTTGGGTTCAGTGCACCTTCCCTAATGAAAGCCATCCCTTCATATGTTCACTTGCCAGACTTTCTGATATACTTCTATTTTAATATGAGCATAACTTCAAAATACTTTTCTTAGCTATTTATTCCACATGCAATTGCACACTCTAAACAATACTTCAGATAATCTAGTCTGCTATATTGCAAGAATAGGAGTTCCCTGTTTTATTTTAAACAGGATGAAAAAATAAAATACATGATTCTAACAAAAGAGACTACAGAAATTTTAAAGTTCTAAATTTATTTTCATTTACTATTGGTTGTTGTTTCACCCAGTATTGCAGAAACACTAACAAACCAAGAGCAATAACTAACAAGATTTATGAAACTATAAAATTCACATTATTCACTTCTCTGTAGCTCATTTTCCTAATCTGTGTATGGCAATAATAATAAAATTAACTTTATGAAACTTTATAAAAGTGCCTACCACTTATTTTAACTATTCCTTTTTAACTATTAGTGAAACCATCATATGCATATAAATTGAAATATATGATACCATAAATTTCTGAAAACAGTCATTAAAAAAATCTTTTCTTCTCAAACTTTTGCTCTCACATTCTCTCATAAACAGCACACTCACTTACACCCACACAATAGAAAGCTTTGAAATTCATGGAGAACGAAACTGAATTTCATAAATAAATCTTGAAAGTGATTTGAAATAACAGAAAAAATATGTGCCAGTGTTGGAATATATTTAAAGAATTGAACAAATTCCTATAGAGTTGATCAACATTTGCAGAGGCTGAAAGTACATGCCCCTCAGAATCACAAAATAAGGAACTTCATTTGAAATATATAAGCTGAGAAATATACAGCATTGGATTGAAAAAAATAGTTAACATCTTTAGGAGATTTTTATAATAGAAGTCTCTATTCATCCTTAATTCAAATCTTGCTCTTTGAATGCTTAATTTAATGTAGCTGGGCCAATCCATCATTCAAAAGCCTCTTGAGTGCCTACTATGTGCTCAGCATGGGAGTAGCAGAATCAGACACCTCTGACATTTTGATAGGTTGATCTGATTTTCTGTCACTTGTCTTTTAGGCTCCGCTAGAAAGAACAAACCTGGAAGTAGCAGGCTCTATTCCTTCAGGGAAATCTTAATGAGACCGAGAAGTTCAGACTGACAACCTGCAATCAGACCTGATTTTACTGCATTTCTTTCAGACTGAACATTGGTCGTTTCTTTATGCTTCTTTATAAGTCCTTTATCTTCAAGCATTTCATTTTTACATACTTATACATGAAAAAATTAATGAAAGCTTTGATTTTGTCAAATAAATGATTGTAGTAGACCCTGACCTCAATTCGTAGTAAAAAGATGTTACATTTCAAATTGAAATACAAACTTAAAAATCTTCTTCACCTTTCAAATATTAATAGGGAAAGTCTAAAATAATTTGCAGATTTGACTTCCAATTGTTCCTTCAGTTTTCATGCTTTAATTTCTTCTGACATAAACTTAAACTACATAAAGCCATTTTTGTAGTTTTTGACATAATTTATCTTATCTAGTCCTAAATTCTTTATTATTATCTATTTGTGTTGCTACAATGCTAGGTCATTTTTCTTTATTTGTTATTATTAATTAGTATTTAATACATAATTCCCTTGCCCATACTGTTTTGAGAATCATGCTAGAATCAGGGATTGCAATTAGTAAACACAAAATAAAAAATCACTTCTGTTGTAGTTGGGCCCATAATAGATCTCCAGATCTAACACCTGAAATGTTAAGGCTTGTATTCAGGAGTGTAAATCTAGATTATCAGATTGGACCATGTTATAATATAAGAATCGGGAGCTATGTGTTTGAAACAATATGGAGATCTAATCATCAACTATAATTTCTTGGGAGGGTCAGATTTAGGTTTTGTGGTACCTGAAACTTCTATAATTTGGGAGGTCTTTAAAAAAAACAGAAAGATAAATTACTACTACAAAAATTATGTTTGTGTTAATTACAAAAGGCTTTAGAAAGAAATAGTGCTAATTTGAGACCCTAAAATTTAAGCTTTATCTGATTCACTAAATGTGCCTTACTGATGAAATTTACAGTGAGTATAATTTTAGATAAAATACAGTATCTATGTGTTTAGCATTGCCTAATATATCTAATTGATAAGGAAGTTATCTCAGTGCTAAAATACATAATGTGATGAGACTTCTTAAAAGGGTTCTAAAACCACAGATCCTGATGAGCACAAGCATTGTATTAAATTTACAGTTGATGAAATTGACAAATTTCATTTTGCAGGACTAGGGAAAGCTGAGGTAGAATAAATGAAACAAAGATAATTATAAGGAGGAGAGGAGAAAATGCACTGTGATGCACAAAGAGACAAAACGCTTCAGAGAAATAATGGCAATTTTAAATACAATTTGTATATACGTAAATAATGTTAGAAATTATTTAATAATAAAAATAACATTTATGTAAGATAGAAAAGAACTTTCAAGTGCAAAACTATTGGCCAAACTGCTATCATTTTGATGTGCAAAAGAGTACGCAAATGGCTTAGATTTAATGATAAGTCATTCAATTTATTTATCAGATGGATATCTTATGGAAAGTTGGAGACTATTTTTCCTTTGGACCTTTTCCTTGGACTATATTTGACCTGCTGCTTTATAAAAAAATGTAAGTGTCACATTTTATTTCATCTTTAGAAATGACAGACTCGTGTTTTAGTGACTTAATCTGTGAGTTAGTAATTCTACATAGAAGCATAAGTCCATGACAACAGAATAAATCAGAAAAAAAGAGGTTTATAAAAAAAGAAATAATTGGTATTGTAAAAGTTATTCATAAAAATGTGAGTGTAACTAGGGGGCAAATAATTTTGTAGCATGTCATGCACTGAAGGGAAGTAACAGAGTTATAAATGTGATTATGCTTCTTGAGATAACATTTAATTGATTGTAAACTGACTTGAATATTGTCATTAAAAAGAATTTTAGATAAAATATATATAAAAATAGCACAGGAATTGAATGGTTGAGAATCTTAAAGATAAAATAATAAATTATTATGTATTTGTATGAAGGTTTTCAACAATTATAATGGCTGAAGTCAAAATACCAGTTGGATTGGGGCAACAGATTGACAATTTATTTCACACTTAGAGACCACAAGTAGCCACCTGAAAAACAAAGGCCCACTGATCTCATGCAGCAATTAAATTATCTGTTGCATATAACAAAATGCTGTAACATTTATTTATGATTAAAATTAATTAAATTAGGTAAAAATGAAATGCTGTAGTGAAACAATTAAAATTAATACATCAAATCAAATTACTGAAAAGCTACTAGAAATGTATCAATTTCTGCTCAAGAAGAAGCATTAATTTTATGTATCCACTATTAAGTACTTTGCAAGAAATATTGTACAATTATATGCAATTAATTCACCTGGCCTGTGAAAGCAACCAGGATGGGGGCTGTATCTGTAAAGCCACAGGGACAATGCTACTACCCAAGTCATTGGAACCCACCACTTGCATCAGCATGACCTGGATGTGAGATATGGGATCAAAAAAGATCATTTTGGAGCTTTAAGATTTGTATGCTCTTTCAAGTAAAGCTTTACTCAGTTATTGAAAATAAAATAATCACTGATTTTTTAATTAAAAAGTTTCGAAAGAAACCTGAGGCTCTTGAAGTAAAACTAAAACTAGGCTGGGCGCGGTGGCTCACGCCAGTAATCACAGCACTTTGGGAGACCGAGGCGGGCAGATCACGAGGTCAGGAGATCGAGACCATCCTGGCTAACACGGTGAAACCCTGTATCTACTAAAAATACAAAAAAATTAGCCGGGCGTGGTGGCGTGCGCCTTTAGACCCAGCTACTCGGGAGGCTGAGGCAGGAGAATGGCGTGAACCCGGGAGGCGGAGCTTGCAGTGAGCCAAGATCGCGCCACTGCAGTCCAGCCTGGGTGACAGAGAGAGACTCCGTCAGACACAAACAAACAAACAAAAACACTAAAACTAATGTCAAGATGCTCTGATGCAGTACATTTTGTTTGCTAAAAAATGGTTCAACAGTACAAATTGAGGGAGCTTGTGTTTGATTCTCACCCATGTGTTTTTATTATGACTTATCTTTGGTAACTTATTTTACAAGTCCATGTAGAGACTCTGCAGCAGTGTGACTTTTCTTTTTTCCTCTCATTTATTAGATTTTTGTGTCTCATAGGTTATTTATAATGGCAGTTTTGTACAACTCAGAGTAGAAGTGAGGCAGAGCAGAGATGCAAGATGACTTCACAGTTAAAGGAAGGTTACCTAGAGCAAGACACTTTGGGTTAAATCATGTATGTACCAGGTACAATAAATGTGACTTCATCAATGTTACTTTTCATCTCTGTGCCTTAATATCCTTTTAATACAGAGATAATTATTATAGCTACCTTTTATGGTTTCTTTGAGAATTTAAAGTGTTAATATGTTTGTGAAGCCATATAAAAATGCTGGCACTAAATTAATATTTTTAAACATTTATAGAAAACCCAGAGTCCCCTTTGACCATCATCCCCTATAACAATATACTTAGAATTATATACTTGTTAAGTGTATTACTTAACTACTCCATGTGAATTTACACATTTACACTCTGTGTGTATAGAATGTGTTATTTTTTAAAAATGAAAAGTATCGTACTCTTCTTAACTCTTTTAGTCTGGTTTATTGACTAAAAGAGTTTACAGACAGTTAATTTACAGACAGTTAAATTAATCTGTATGTAGTATATGGTATATGGTATAGATTAGGGCTTCCTTTTATGCATATTGAGGGAATAAAATTGTTTTCATATCATTTGTTAAACAGGCTGAATTGCCTTTGCTCCTTTATTAGAGCAACTGACCATATTTCTTCAAGCTTTTTTATAGACTTGACACATTTTTCTAACCTAGAGGTACATTCTTTTTTAAAAATGAGTATTTTAATTCAGTTTCAGAAAAACATGATACATGGACTTGAATTAGAAAACCTGAAATTAAGAGGTTTGTTTTGCTGAAAATAGGCAAGAAAAATAAATAAACTCTAATATGTTCCATGATAATTTTCTGGATCTTCTTGTGTCAAAAACTATATATTTTCTCCTCAAAACGGCTGCTCCAAGGAATAACTACCCCGCTTTGTCTCCCTCTAGCTGGGATAAACTAGTTCTTCTCTACCCCCAACTCTCTTCTTTCAATAACACTGTGTGGTTGGTAAAGGCCTGAGCTTTGACCAATGAACATCATTGTCCTTTAAGCTAGCAACCCACAGGCAGTGGCACTAAAAATCTCACCTCCGGCCCCCAGGGCAGAGGCCATACACCTGCCATTGTTTCCATTGCCTCAGGAAGAAGGAGCCAAAAGCTGACCCTCAGCACAAATCAAAGCCCAATATATAGAGAAAATAAGTGCTTCTAGGCCCACGGTAGGCAAACTGTGGGCAGGAAAGGGACCCTTTTCCACTACTATGGTCTTCCAGTTACTCTACTGCTACTGAGCTCCAAGGGTATCAGAAAGCACAAAAGGATCTAAACTAATGAGGAGAACTTTGCCCAGGCTGGAGATAAGAGTGACAAACAGGGAGACAGGTGAATGTAATCATGTGTAGGAAGATGATGCTGGGAACTTCCACTCTTCACATGGCTGCCAGCCCTACAGAGAACAACACAATTAAGAGCCAAGACAATCACTCCAAACTGGTATATCTAGGGAATCTTCAGGCCTTTCCATATGTCCCACGTCAAGTGTTGAATCCCATTCTAGGTATGATACATGAGAGGGAAGATGAGTGCAAACTTAGCTGTGAGAATCAGTGCTGGCCCCAGACACAGGGACTTCAGGAGTTCCAAATTAGACTCAAAGTTCCCAGGGAGCAACAGGGCCTACATGCCAAAAAAAGAGACCTTTGCACTTAAAGCAATACTAGTGCCACGGTGGCAGATGGACATCACCATGGGAAGAGATCAACTGTAGATAATGATGTGGGGAGATAAAAACACTTTGAACCTGTGTTCTTATTCCAGAACTGCTTCATCTCTTCTTTGGCCATGGTTCCCAAAGCAACCATCAGAACAGCATTTCTGATACAGAGCTGAGGGCTAAAGTGGGCTTGGAGGCAGTGACGGCCAACAAGCCTCAGCAAGAGTGCAGCCATCTTGGGTTCCAGCCTAGATGAAAATTAATCTAGAGTTATATTTTTATGACAAAACCACAGTGTACTGACTACTATAACCAGATAGTAAGCCTTAAAATCAGTTTGAGTGAGTACTCTAAATTATTTTTCAAAAATTTTTATTAGTCTAAGCTCTTTTTTCATTATATTTTTAAAAATCATTCTGTCAATATTCTACAGAAATGCATTCTGAGTGTTTTTCCCAAGATCTAAAAATAATATTGATAATTGATAATTTTTTCATTAATACATAATTATTGTACATATTTATGGCATACATGTGATATTTTGATACACACATATAATGTGTAATGATCAAATAGGGGTAGATAATATATCTATCACCCCAAACATTTGTCATTTCTTTTTGTTTTGGGAATATTTCAAATCCTCCTTTCTAGCTATTTTGAAATATACAATAAATTAATGTTAACTATAATTACCCTACTGTGTTTTGATTGAAATTGCACTACATCTAAACATAAGGGAAATTAGAATCTTAATTATGTTGAGTTTTCAATCCATAGACACTGTCTGTCTCCAGTTATTTAAATCTTCTTTGAATTTTAATTCCATAATATTTTAGTTTTCCACATATACATCCTGCAAATGTTCTGTTTTTTCTAAGTATTTGATTTGTTAATGTATTATACACATTTTGTTAATTTTAGTTCCAAATATCTATTGACAGTATATATAAATATTATTGTTATTTATATGCTGATTTTTTTTATTATTTATCACTGGCAAACCTACTCATGAGTTTTAGGAGGTTATTTTACAATCCTTGGGATTTTCTATGTAGAAGGGTAAGCCATTTTACAAACAAGACAATTATTTCTTCCTTTTCAATTTCTACCTTTGAAAAAAAATTTTAAGAAACTCTCTGGAAACCATCATTCTCAGCAAACTATCACAAGGACCAAAAACCAAACACCGCCTGTTCTCGCTTATAGGTGGGAATTGAACAATGAGAATACATGGACACAGGAAGGGGAACATCACACACCAGAGCCTGTTGTGGGGTGGAGGGATGGGGGAGGGATAGCATTAGGAAATATACCTAATGTTAAATGATGAGTTAATGGGTGCAGCACACCAATATGGCACATGTATACATATGTAACCAACCTGCACATTGTGCACATGTACCCTAAAACTTAAAGTATGATAAAAAAAAAAAGAAAAAGAAACTCTCTTCAACGCATTGGCTAAGACTTATGGTAAGATATTGAATAAGTATGCTCAGAATATATATCCTTACCTTGTTCCCAATTTAAAATGGTAGGAATTCAGCTTTTCACTACCCAATATGATGCCTGCCTTAGTTTCTTGTTTGTCTTTACAATGAATAAATGTGACACTTTGAAATTATTATTTTTTGCCTCAGTTGACATAATTATCTATTTTTTCTTTATTTTATTAATATATTAGGTTAGGTTGATTTATTTTTGCATGTTAAAACAGCCACGCATTACTGGGATGAACCATATTTATGATGCATTTCTCTTTTCATGTATTGTTGAATTCAATTTGCTAATATTGTGTTGGAAATTTGCATCTGTATTCATGAAGGATGTTAAGCCTGCATTTTCCTTTATTGTACTATCTTTTTGTGGCTGTAGATTGGTGAAGCCATTATGGAAAACAGCATGGAGATTTTTAGAGAAATGAAAAATACAACCATCACATGACCCAGCAATTACTCTTCTAAATATAGATCCAAAGAAAATGAAATCACCACCAAGTAAAAGATATCTGCACTCCCCTGTTCACTGCAGCATTATTCATAGTAGCCAAGATGTGGAAACAACTTAAGTAATAATATCAATCAATGGATGAATGGATAAAGCAACTGTGATAGAATACACAACAGGATATTTTTCAGACTTAAAACTGGAGGAGATCCTGTTATTTGCCACAACGTGAATGAACCTAGAGGACATTATGCTAAGTGAAATAAGCCAACACAAAAAGAAAAATATTACATTATCTCACTTTTATAGAATCTTAACAAAAAGTCAAATATGCAAAGAGAGAAAATAAAACAGGGTTACCAGGGGCTGGATTGGTTGGGATGAAGCAAATGGGAAATGTTGGTCAAAGGATAGAAAGTAGCAAATACGTAAGATGAACAATTCTAGAGATTTAATATAAAACATGAGAACTATAATTAATGATGCTTTTTGTATTCAAGATTTTTGCTAAATGAGCAGATTGTAGCTGTTTTTGTCACACACACACCAAAAAAAAATGGGTAACAATGTAAGATGATGTACATGTTAATTAGCATTGCTATAGTAAGCAGTTTTCTCTATGTCTCTCATAATATAATGTTGTATACTTTAAATATGTACAATAAAATTTATTTTTAAAAATTGATTTTTTTTGTTTTTTGAAGAAATTTTATAGAATTGATGTTATTTCTTCTTTAAACATTTTGAAGAATTCTTCAGTGTAAACATGCAAGTAGATTCTTTTTTGAAAGTTTAACCATGAATTCAATTTTTCTAATAGAGCTAAGAATATTCAGGTTATATATTTTATGTCAATGAGTTTTGATAGTTTGTGACTTTCATCTACATGTAGAATTGTCTTCATGTTACTGAACTGATTTACATAAAGTCACTTATATTATTCCCTTATTATTATTTTAATTCCTGTGAACTTAGTACTGACTTTTGTTCCTAACATTGGTAATTTATTTCCTCTCTCTTTTTTTTTATTAGGTTTGCTAGAATTTTATTGATTTTATTGATCTTTTCAAAGAAATAGCTTTGGTTTTCCTGATTTTCACAGTTTGTTTTCTGTTTTCAATTTCATTCATTTCTATTTCTATGTTATTTCCATCATTCTGTTCAATTTGGTTTATTTTACTCTACAAGCCCAAGTTTTTTAAGATGGAAACCTACACAATTATTTTGAAACTTTTCTACTTTCCTAATATAAGTATATAATGCTATGAATTTCCCTATAAACCCTGCTTTGTCTGATCCCAATATTTTTAATATACTGTATTTTGATTTTTATTCTTTTCAAAATACTTTATTTTGCCTCTGTCCCTTCATATTTGACTCATGGATTTCTTGCTTTTTTATTCAATCTGATAATTAAAACTATGATGATCAGTCCACTTATATGGTTTGATTTGAATCTGTCATATTAATAGTTGCTTTGATTTAAACCCATGTATTTTTTTTTCCTTTTCCCTTTGTTCTTGCTTTTTGGGGTGATTAATATTTATAAAATTAATATAAAATATATGGTCTTGTTTATCTTGTATAACTTATTAGTTAATACACCCTTTTGAGTGTTTGCTCTAAAGTTTACAATATAAGACTTTACTTTATAATACTCTATCTTCATGTATTCTTATACCACTTCACGTACAGTGTAAGAAACTTTCTGTTTATCACTTTCCATACCTTGTGCTATTTTTGTCATACATTATTCTATAAATAACATAATTCCTCAAATATATCATCACTATTTTTAATAGGCAGTTATTCTTTAAAGAATGTAAAATAAGAAAAATGTATTTTTAATTTATGTACAATTTTAGCAACACTTTTGATTGATTTATTGTGTTTTATCTATTTAGTATATTTATCAAAATTTGCATTTGATGTTACTCCTTCCTTTACCATTTCTTATAGGGCAGTTCTGTGTAAGATGCATTCTCTGGAATTTGTTCATCTGAAATATCTTTTATTTGACTTCATTATTAAAATATATGTTCATTATACATAAAATTGTTAGTTGTTATTTTTAAGGCATTTTAACGTCACTCAATTGTCCTCTGATTTTTCTTGATTTTTAACAAAAGCCAACTCTAATTCTAAATTTTTGTTCTTCTGTAGATATTTTCTTTTTTTTTTAATCTTCTGGAAGTCTTCAATATCTTCTCTCGATTGCTAGTGTCAACAATTAACGGTGCCTGTCTGAGATGTGTGTGTGTGATTATACCATTTTCTCCTCAAATTTATCTTCTTCCCTATGCCTTCTAAATTCTCTTACCAAGACTTCAATTATTATACATACGTTAGACCATTAGGTATTGTCCCACAGGATACCATATTCTAAATTTTTTAATTTTTTTGTATTTTAGTTTGGATAATTTCTCTTGAACTACAATTTTTATTTCCACTGTATCCATTCTGTTGATAAAACTGTCAAAGGAATATTTGTATTTGATATCTTTTTTGTAGCATTTCCATGTGACTCTTTTTTTTTTCTATTTTCCATCTCTCTAACAAAATTCTCTATTATGCTCTTGTCATAATTTTAAAACTTTTTATATTTTTATATGGTACTTCTTTAGGTCTAGTTCTATCAATTATGTATTCTGACAATATTTTTGGTAATTTTTGATGGAATAATAGGCATTATAGGCCAAAGAACATAAGAAACTGCAATAAATAGAATTTATGCCTCTTTCTCTTTCAAGCTTTTGGTGTGGGGAGTTCAACTGAGTCAATTATTGAGCAGAGTTTAACTTTTGTTATTGCTGTAATTATGTCAGCACACTACAAAGTTCAAATTTATTCAATGGTGTGATGCTACTAAGTCATTCACAGTGTTTTATCCTCTTCTTCTATTAGACCTAGATGCCTGCAACACAGAGATGTTCTATATGGACATTCTTGCCCTTCCCCCAGTTTTAGATTGTTGTGGATTTTACTGCATGCAAGTGTAATTTGGAGGGCAGGGTAGTTCTCAGCTCTGCTGGTCATTCTTTATTCCTAGACAGGTTTTGTATGCCTGGGCCTCAGGGATAGGGGTTTCTTAGCTTCTTACTCTTCGTTCTCATGGAAGCCAGTTTCTTATATCTATGGAAAATCATGAGTTGGAAGGGAGTGTGTATATCCTCTCAGATTGGTAGTCAAACTGCCTTTCATCAGTTTAGTATCTTCAGCCCAAGTGGATTTTTCCAGTTGTTCCTCAGTAGCAGACAGCTTGTTTATTTTCTGTCATCCAAGGTAGTACATAATCTCTGGGTTCTTTATTTGAGAGGGTGTTTTACACTCTTCCAATAGCTTGAGGACTTCTTTCATAAGAGAGTAAGGTCAGGAATATGGTGAGATTTTGTATGTATGCACTATACTGTGGGTGCTTTATCTGGTTCACTGTTCTGTGCCCGATGCATCTTGAGAGCATCTGGTATTGACCCATATTAAAAGCTTTGAAGAGTTGGTAGATAATTCTCCTGATATGGCTTGGATGTGTTTCCCCTCCAACCCCCAAGTTGTAATGTGACCTCCAAAGTTGTTATGGTCCTAGTAGGAGTTGTGTGGGTCAAAGAGGTAGACCCGTCATGAATGGCTTGGTGTCCTCATCATGGTAATAAGTGAGTTCTCTCCTACTTTACAGGGGAACTGATTGTTTTGGAAACGTGTGACACATCCCTGCTTCTCTCTTTTTTCCCACTCTTGTCATGGGGATATGTTGGATCTCCCTTCACCTTCTGCCATGATTCCAAGCTTCCTGAGCCCTTCACCAGAAACAGATACCGGTACCAGTCCTGTACAGCCTACAGAACTGTGAGCCAATTAAGCCTGTTTTCTTTATAAATTACCTAGCACCAGGTATTCCTTTATACTAATGCTAAAACAGACTAACACATCTCCATGTGGAGATAATATGTAAGAATGGCATTGTCTTTTATTTTTTATAACTGTCCATGGAGATTCAGAGAAATAATATCATGGGATAGTTGTTTCAAATTGCTGCAAGCCCCTTAAACTAACTCGATGCTAGGTCTTCCATTCCCAGATCAGAGCCATTTTCCACCAGACAGCTCTCATCATTGATTAGTTTGCTGGAGACAGCATCCACATGGGCCACCTCCAGCTTATCCTTATGGGACTTCAGGGACAAAGAAAACTAGTGTAAACCTGAAGGTCCTTCTGCTTCTTGAAACATGAGTATTAAAATCCTTTATCTCTGACTCAGTAGTCTTGTGTCCTCTACTAGCATCCATGAAACTGTAGTATGCTAAAATCTTAGCTTGTAAGTAGGATAAAATCTCAGACCCTTGATTGTTCTTGACAGCAAATTCTTGCAATGTCTTGTCATCTGTTTGTTTCTCCCAGGGATTGTAAATGCTCATAACAGTCTTTTAAGAAGGCATTCAAATTTTATCTCTTTCTTGTTTACTTATTTCTTCTTATGATTTACCCAAAGTGAAGCAGTTCATGTAACTGTTCCTCTTTTGGAGTTAATGGTCACTCTTTGGAATTCAGTTCATTTGATAAAATCAAGTAGCTTTAAATTTTACAGATTATCTAGGGGGTGTTTTCATCGTTATTAGGATGACAGTGCCATTTTCTTATGGCCTTGTACACTCTTTGCTTGTCTTTAAAAATTTGCATGTTTTGTTGTTCTGCAGTTGGTCCATGTGCCTTACAGATTTTACTTGATGTCAATATATGCATTTTCTCCTTAATCTTTTCACTTGCCTCATGATATATCAAAGTATGAATTATACAATAGTTTCCCTTATAATGAATATTTAAATATTATCTGATGATTCCTGGTTCCAAATAGTGTCTATTCTTTATAGGCCTTCTTGAACATGTGTGTAAGCATTATGCTGAGTAGTTATCAGAAGTATGATTTCCCTATCATTGTGTTTCCACATCCTTTATTTTTCTATTGATTTGTAATAGTTACTTATTTATTATATATATACTAATTTTGTGTGAGTTCTGCAGACATTTTCTACTATACTTATATGTTAACCTTAATAATGATGCTTCAGTTATAGTGGAAACTTTGTTTAATATTTTCCTCTGCGATGTTTATTTTTGTCTTAATAATGCTTTCCTTAAAGTTATAAAAATATTCTTCTGTATTTACTTTAGAGGCTTAAATGTATATTACATGTTTAATAATTTTTGATTGTGTTTATCATTTTTGTTAAGTTTATGCTTTTTTAATTTTGAGATTTATTATTACAAATAGTATTAACTTATTCTAAATTTGGAGTAATTTTTATACTTAATAATTTTCAAAAGGTACAAAATCCTTTGTGGACTCTGTTCTATCAATCTACTAATTTATTATTTATTATTGGTTATTACCTTACTAGTTTTTTGTACTTATAATGTAGTTTGGTACTTGGTAGAGTAAGATCTATTACTTGGTTTGGTTTTTTTCAATTTATGTTGCTTGTTCTTATATAACTTTGCTGGATGAAGTTGACAATTAGTTTGACAAATTTTGTAATAATTGTATTGGGATTTTAGTTAGTTTGGATTAAATTTATGGATTAATTTGGAGAGTCTGGCTTCTTTATCATCATGACTCTTCCTGCCATTACTTTGGTTTATATTTTATTTATTCATATTTTATTTACATTACATTTCAGTATTTTATTCTGAAATGTCTTAGATTTTTCTTAGGTTTATTTCTAATCATTTAATAGATCATAGCTGCAATTAATATTGATCTTTTTATTTATGTATATTTCTAATTGGACATTACTGAAATAGAAGTGGTGTTAAAGCTTGCTAATTCGAATCATGAGCTTCAGAGCCATAATGAACCCCAGTTTTGCCACTTACAAGTTATGTGACCATAGCAAAATTAATTATAATTTTGTATACTTAAATTTTCTCATTTGTAAAGTGGCTAAAATTACAGAACTTATTTCAAAAGGTTGTCATAAAAATAAATAAGGTAACACACATAAAAAAATCTCTAATATTTGAGAAATGTAAAGTACCCAATACATGTTATGCGGAATTACAAGGACACTTAATTTTTCAGTGTTTTCTCAGTTCATTAACGAGTTTGTATTAGGAGTGCAATTATATTATCTAGAGAATGAATGTTATTTCTTCCTCTCCAACATTAATTTCACTTGTTTCTTTCTTTATCTGTATATAAGTTGGTTGGAACTTCAGTACAAAGTTAATATTGGGATTAAAGCCAGTATCCTAGTCCGTTCTTTAATAAAATGTTTCTAATATTTAGCCATTATGTATGATTCTTACTATAATATGTTTTTAGACTCAATCTCCACATAAGAAAGTTTGCCCTCTTCTAAGTTATTTATGAGATTTTTATTAAAGTATATATTTCTTTTTAAAACATATTAGATATAATTCATTGGATATTTGTTTTGTGGTCTATTGAGAGAATTCTGTTAAGCCTCTCTTCTTTATTAACAGAGTAGATACTATTGTATATAACATGTTTTAAAATGTTAAACTACACCTGCATATCTGGATAAATCTAATAGGTCAGATTGATGCTTTTCACTTAATATACTTAATGATTGTTCTATTCTCCCTTTCTGTCAGTCTGTTTATATAAAAGATTATTCCAAAGCTCTTTTTTCTTCTCTTTGTTATGAAGGCTTATCCAGTCTCATAAAATGAAATGAATAAGCAACATCTTTCATTTAAACAATCATTCTGTATTAATAAAATAATGCTACAGCATTTTCAATGGCTGCATAGTACTTCTTATTTTACTGCAATATTGACTTAATCCATCAGTTTTTCACTTATTTAAACATATTTACTATGTACCTCCCATGTGTTTAACATCATTCTCAGTGTCCACTATACAGCAATAAACAAAACAAATCTCTGACCTCATGGAGCTGATCTACTTTTAGACTATGACAAATAATAGACTACTAAATCAATACGTATTGAATGTCAGCCATGTACATTTATTTCAAATAATTATTTTAATAATTTTAAAAAGCAGAGCAATGAGTATAAAATGTACTGTTTTATACAGGATGATTAAGGATAAAATGTACTGTCATATATAGGTTGATTAATATTTCTTTTAATAAATATATAACTTTTATTTAGATTTGCCAGTGTGTGCTAACTTCAGCTTTTGCTATACAAATGATTAGCTTACCATTTTCTTTGGATTACTTGCTCAGTTAATTGGAAAAATTTTTTTGATAATTCCCTCAGAGAAGATTTGAGGGAGTAACTTGTCTACTTTCTTTCACTTTGTTTAAAAGTATGTTTATTTTGTCATTACACTGTGTTAGCAATAACTATAGAATCCTAAGTGTAATATTTATTATCTGAAAAATTTTAAAATACTGTTACAATTTATGGTAAATAGTAGTATTAATAGTTTATTTTATTAGTTTTTGAAAAATGTCAGCCTTCATTTTAGATGCAGTGGGTACATGTGCAGGTTTGCTACGTGCAGGTTTGTTGCATTATGCTGAGACATAAACCTGACACCCAGGCAATGAGGATTGCACACAATAGGTAGTTTTTCAGCCCTTCCCTCAGCCCCACCTTTTGATGTCCCCAATGTCTATTGTTCCCATCTTTGTGTCTTGGTAGTGAGGAATCTGAGATATTTCTGATTCTCGTTAATTAGCAGACTCTAATCTAAGGGTTTTTTTTCCCCCTTTCTATTGTCTTTACCATATTTTTGGATAGTTGCTGACATTATTATTTTATTTATATTACTATTAATTTGTCTTACTCAATAGATGAGTCCTCACTGGGGTCTTTTAATGTGACTGTTCTTTTTTCTTTACTCCTATTTTTGGGAACTTTTTGTGAATTCTTTGAATATTGTTTATCATTTATCCTCTCTAGTCATTCTCTGGAATTAATTTTAAAACATGAAAGAGACATTGGAAGTTTCTTCCACTTCAATTAACCTTTGTTTCTTGCACTTTTTAAAAGAATTTAGATATATCAGAAATATCTTCAGCTATGTCTATCATTTATATTTAGTTTAGTTTTGTTTTTAACTCAAATGATCCATGTTAAATATCTGTAATAACATTTAGCATTTCTTATATGTATTCTATTCCTTAGTGCATTTCTCTGAAGATGTTAAATGTTTTGACTCTGTATTCCTGGTCTATTTTCTCAGTTATCTCTGTTACCTTTATCGAAAGTTATTTCTGCTAATTCATTATTATGCCTTTGCTCTTTTGTGCTATAGGTTTCTCTCAACATCTGATGATGGATAGATAGATATAGATACAGATATATCGATGTATGTCATGTATATGTCCGAGTGTATGTGTGTGCATGAGATTTGTATTTGTTTATTTATTAGACATATTACTAAGTTGGCTTGTACAATTTATATATAAATATTCAATTGGACAGGACTTGCTTCAGAAGCTAGCACAGTTGCTTGTGTAAACAGAACCAGAGAACTAAAATATATCAATCTTGCTGGATGGAGTGTTTTCCTAACTAATATTATTAACATGAGAGGCATAGTATTTTTTGACCCACCTTGTATTACCTTGTTGTCACTAAAAGTATGGAGGAAAACACCACTGTTACTGCTTTCTGGCTCAAAAGGTTGGAGGAAGTTCACAGATGAAGGTCCCTACTCAGGCTCTTGCCAACGGATAAATATCAAGGTTGCTGTCCAACCTTGATAGTTACCCTTTGGCAAACTCCTGCCTCTATGATCACCCCCTTTGTAGATGGATCACTCTTAGTGTTGCTCCCACCTTCTCAAGTAGCCTTTCCTGCTTACGTTTTGTCTTGTATCTTTCTTCATTGATTCCATCTTGTCTCCTTGCCAGCTTTCAAAAGTTCTTCACAATCTCTGCTAAATAGAAATACACCAGCCAAACCTCTTACTTCCTTAATATCATTGGAGGACATCTTACATACCATAGGTGGACAATTTTTTTTGTACCATCTAGTAAATATTTTAGACTTTGTGGGTCATAAGGTCTCTTTTGCAACAACATAACTCTGCTCTTTTACTGTGAAATATTTCATGGTTAATATACAAATAAAATAAAAATTTGTCGTGTCCCAATAAAACTTTATTTATGAAACAGACAATAGGCAGGACTTGGCCTGCAGTCCATAGTTTGCTTTCCCACACTAGATAATATAAGCTTAAAGGATTTCAAACAACCATTTCTTAAACTTAATTTTTGAAAAAAATCTTTCTACTGCCACTTATCAATTTGGAATACCGCTCCAAATTCTTCAAGAGATGAAAGTAGCACGATATCTTTTATCTTCATTAATTTAACAAAAATATTTTTACATCTGAAAAGGAATGCATGCCGATAAATACAACTTCAGGGTAAGGAATAATTCAGAATATTTTAAGTTCATATATATTATATTTTCCTCCATTGCTTCAAACTTCCCAAAGATGAAAAAGGAAGCTTCAATCTCAAATTCCTGAACAAGATGAAAAATGACTCATAACTACATACTCTGCTATAAATATGAAAATAAAATCTGCAGTATGTAAAGTAACTTGTTATATAAATTTCCACAATATTATTTGTTTAAACTAGAGCGAATAAAATATATACTTGGCATCCATGTATAAAATATACTTGATAATCTTTATAAATGCTGGGGGAAATGTTCATAATAAAAGCATGATCTGTAGTAATGCAAGAGATATTAGGTAGGATTTAAAAGTCATTAAGAGGGTATTTGTTTTTATTTAAAACACAATGAGAATATAAAAACATTAACAGGTTACACTACAGCATGTGTAGAGTTATTTTATATCTTTTAAGATAATTGTGTTATATTTCTTCAGGTTTCTATCCCTTAATGGCAGATTTACTCTTTGTATATGAGTCCTCTCAGTTGAATTACCACAATTTACTCTCCATTCTTTCTCTGGTAGTGTCCCAGAAAGACACACATTTTTTTAACAGGGAGTAAATACTTGCACTTTCATTGCTTTACACCTCATTCTTTTCTACTGGTCATCGCCAATTTTGTTTGTGTGACTCTATGCTCACTGTATTGCCACCACTGGTCTTGTGCTCATATTGTTGTTATCCTCTCTATACTCAGGTAATCACTCTTGTAGAGGAAGGTGTACACTAGATACCGCCCCACCCCCAAATGCAATCTTTGTCCTTCTCTGTCTTGCTTCCTTCCCTGGAAGTTCCATCCCTGAGCATTGCAATGCCAGGGTTTCCCTGCTAGCTGGCTTCCAGTTGGATTTAACTAATGAAAAGGACCAGCAAGAGATGGGGATATGAGACAGATCAGAAGGCTTTTTTTTTTTTTCATCTGCCTTCTATGTCTTTCAGCAGTGTGTTTCTTGCAGTACTTGTAACCCTTCAGAACCTCATCTTACCAGCTGATTACTCCCACATTGTTCCAACAGTCATTGGGCTTCTGTAACAGTTTTCTCCCTTTGCTCCTTCAATCCTAACAGTCACAAAGGCTTACTACTCTTTTCTAGCCTCTATTTACCTACCTTATGTTTGTTTCCTTTTTGCTGTCCTCACCCTATAGGTCTTCTTCTGTTTAAAATCCCCTCACTTAAATTATCTGTCAGCCTTCTTTCTTGCTGGACCATGTTGTAAGAAATAATTTAGATCCTGAATGATTTTCTTTAGCTGATTTCTGCTGTTTTTTAACTCTCCCAGCTCCATATCTAATCTTTATAAAATTGGAATACATTTTCTAAAATAAGCATTTATTTCTTAAATTCAATGCTACGGACTAGTAATACAAATATAAGCCTACATATACATAGAACGTTTATAGAATTTGAAGTCTAGAGGATTACATGGTTCATATAACAATAATAATGTAGTATCTTTTTCAAAAATTTCCATGTAGTCTCTGTTCCAAATATTTATTTTTGACCTTCATTAATGAGCGTTTTTAGATTTAGTCCTACACAACTTAATGCTCTTCTTAAATCGATTTCCTTCACTATTCTTCACTCTCTAAAAGTTTAAAATTTGACTTTTGTTTTTTCACCTTGAAATCTTCTTCTCCATATAAAAAGAAAACACTGGTAGTTAATAATGAATTTATTAACAATAAATCTATAGCGTAATTTATCCCAGAAGGATTGACTTCTCCTAATAGATTGCTGGCTCACCTAGAATTTCACAGCTAGGGAGCCACTTTCTTCAAAGTAATGAGCAATTATGACATTGTCACCAAACAATAGCATACTGTCTCCACAAATCTCAATATAAAATATTTTGCCTTTGGGAAACATATCAAGGAAATTATTGAAACTCAAGGAGTCTTCCATTACTTAGTCTATAATGTTTGTTGACTGCATTTATATAAATGTGGTTAAAAATGTAATACTAGATATTATTGCCTGGAAGCATGAGGAGATGATAATATCACTGATGTAAAAAAATACAGTTCTTCACTAAAGTAGAACGCTGCTTTTATTACAAATTACAGTTGTCATACTGAAGTTTAATTAAAATTTCCTCTAGAATTGAAAAGACTTCGCATCAAGAGACTATATCCTATTGTAAAACCTAGGAGAAACCATTTCTTTTTTTGAGTAATTTAAGTTTGTCAACATTATAATAGCTGAGTCTCACTTGGAGATAAACTGTGAAATCAAGTGTATATTTTTCACAATTCTTTCATCATTCTCCATTTTTACCATGGTACACATTCAGTGGAATATGTATCCCTGCCACACTGGAAAAAATGGGATATTAGAAAAATCCTGAATGTGTTGGCAGTGTTTTCCTTATCTACTTGTGTTCATGCCTTTCACCATGAGAAAGGCCTGCCCCATGTTGCTACTTCTACCTGAGAAAAACAGGGAGCTGTTCTGGAAATACACCTGCTGTTCATAATCCACACTGACTCTCGAACTTGTGTATTAAAGAAATGATTGCTAGTTTTTATAAGCCATTGTAATTTTGGGATAGTTTGTTATATAGCATAGTCACATCAATAGTTGCATTATACAAACTCTTTAGCAGAGAAATAATCAGAGGAATTCTAATAAATGAGACTTGCTGAAAGACAATAGAACAGATTTGCATATCATTTAACAAATGCAAGTACAGTCATATGTAACAACATTTTGGTCAACAATGAACCACATATAAGAAGGTGGCCCCATGATATTATAATACTGTAACTTTACTGTACCTATTCCATGTTTAGATACACAAATGTGTCCCATTGTGCTACAGTTGCCTGAAGTATTCAGTACAGTAACATACTGTACAGGTTTGTAGCTTAGGAGCAAGAGTCTATACCATATAGCCTGGATGTGTAGTAAGCTATATCATGTAGGTTTTTGTAAACACACTCTGTGAAATTTACAAAATGGTGAAATTCCCTAAAGATGCATTTCTCAGAAAGTATCCCCAATATTAAGAGCATAACTGTATTTATGTATTGGTTTACACAAGAAACCATTAATTTCTACAATCTTCTCTGACCACTTGAGGAAAAGAAAATAAAAGAAAAAGCACAGGTAATACTGGTATGCTTCTAACCTTGGATAAAATGTGTGTTCAGTGTGGTAAGGAAACAACTCTCTGCTGCTTATATTACAATTTTTAAGAAGTTTCAAACAGTGTGGTTTGTGTCCAGGATTAGTTTAGTACAATAGCCCTTTCAGAATGTGTTTTGTTTTCCTTGGTGTTTTTCTGTAAAGCCGTTCATCTGCCTAAAGTGAAGATTTGGGACTGCTAGAATTCAAGTGATAGCCACTATGCTTCACTAAAAGAGTCCCTAAAGATATTACCACTTTCTTTCTTCTGAATAATTCACATAAAATGCTGCTAGGTACAGATGAGCAAGGCACGTATCTTCAAAGGAAGGTGGTGGCAGCATCTTGTCATGGGGCATTGAAACCAAGTGGGGTGAGGAGGAAGTCTGTGCAGGGTGGGAAATGGCAGCAGCTTGTCAAGGGTGCTGGAGCCTGAGCATGTTAAAATTATCTCTAGTGTTTCAAATAATTATTCAAGGTTATTCTCTACATCTGGATAGATTTTTTAAAACACTTTGTAAAGGGGCAGGCAAAATGTGTGTGTGTTTTTGTGTGTTTAAATGGACTCGTGCAGCTACATCAGATTACGCTCTTTTCTGTATGTCAAACAGCTAGTTGTCATTACTGCTTTTTAAAAAATAAATCTTCAACTAAAATACGATTTACAATTAATTCATCTAATCATTCTATGACTGTTTCTATTACCAAAAATTTGCATATAAAAGAAGCTCCCTAATGAAAAAGAATTTGCTATATTTCATTATTAAAACGAATACATAAAAAAGTTTGATATGCTATTTAAGACAGTTGTATCAGGAAGTGTACTGTAGAGCAGAAAAATTGAGGATGGATTTAAAAGCAAAACAAAATAAAGCATTTATTTTGCATTCAAACTACATTAAGGAAAATTCTTTGCAAAATTTAATTGCAATTTTCAAATATTTCCAGTAATTTCTTGGAGATGACTATGATCTAGGAAAGTCATTAGCATACCCAACTTTAGCTATTACTCCATTATATCTCAATCTAGTGACTGTGACAATACCTTCCTATGATGTTTGCTAGGAAGGAGTAGCAAGGTCAGAAGCAGTGCTTTACCTTCCAGTAAACCCCCAGGGTTTCACTGTCAGGGAACTTTACCAATCCTGGGGAGTTTAATCATCCTCAGCTCCCTCTCTCTTACTATTTTATTCAAATATACCCTGGAGCACTTGACTGCCAATACTCTACTTGCCCCCAGTCACGTTCCCAGTGTCTTCCAAAAAGGAAAAGCAAACTATAGGAGAAGAGTGACCACCATTTGATAGAAAATCCATATATTAAGGATACTTTATTGGCAAGATTGCTAGTTAGCATCTTCATACTTTCAAAACAATTTGAGCTGAAAGGAAAAGTGTCTCATACTTTAACCTGACCAACTACCCATTATCTTTTATTGCCTCCAGCGTTCTTTAGAGTATTCCTTAAATTCACTGTTGGTTCTTCAATTTCTAACTTGCACCTGACTTGCCTGTTTAGATATAGATGTTTTCTTCAGTTGAAGAATGCGTTTAAGTTAGAAAGATTGGCTTTCTTTTCTCTGTGAGTATGTCTTCCATTTATTAATTAGAAATTGTTTTATTCAAATATCTGGCATTTCCCCCTTCAGATATTAGTAAATATTTATAATTAGATTTCTATCTTTTTATTTATCTTTGCACCCACAGTTGGCATAATTCCGCTTCTAAAACTAAGAAATAATAATTACCATTAATATATTGAATGTTCTTTATATTCAAGTCATTGTGCTGGTATTTTATAACCAGGACATCATTAAATCTTTGCAGCACCAGAAACGGTAGGAATAATTAATAATATCATAATGTAGATGGGAAGCTGGGATTCTTTGAAGTTATTAGTTTGTCGAAGAGCCCCTGTAATTGGCAAGGCCAAAATCTGTACAAAGCCTGTCTAATTCTAGAGCTTGAGCTTGGCAGGATCTCATCAAGAATTTGCTAACAATTTCCTTTGGCTTTCTCACTTTTATCAGAAGTTCAAATTTAACTGATCTATGACTATCTTATTGTAACCTGCTGGCAAATATCCCTAACATTTTTTTTCACAATCACTACTGATTAAGACCAATATTTGAAAAAAAAATTGTTCATTGCTACCTGTAGCACAGGTATCTACATATAGCTATGGCTATAGTTATAGATATACACATGTAGATTTAAGTAAAGGGCTTTTATGATTGTGTGGACTGGTAAATCTAGAATCTGTAGGGAAGACCAACAGGCTGGAAACTCAGGTGGGAGTTAATGCTTCAGTCTTGAAGCCAAATTTCTACTTCACTAGAAATCTTTAGATTTCACTCTTAAGGCCTTTAATTGATTAGATGTGGCCCATTCACATTATTGAAGGTGATTTTCTTTACTTAAAGTCAACTTGTTTTAGATGTTAACTACATCTATAAAATACCTTTATAGAAATACCTAGATTATTGTTTGATTAAATAACTAGGTACTATAGCTTACCCAAGTTGATATATAGAATTAACCATTACACTACCTATAACAAGAAGCTGGAATTTCTTTTCATAAGAAATTGTAATAACCAATTTAATGTAGTAATTTACTAAATGTAAATATGGAAAAATTAACCCCTCCAATGGCATAGCTTCAAAGATTTGTAAATTTCTTAACCAAATATGAAAATATTGAGTTAGTTGTATAATCCTGATCAGACTTACAAAACCCTATTCATGAGTTTTAACTATTTAAGTATGACATATTGAGTCACAATGATTCTGAAGACGTTTACAACTCAAGAAATTTAATTTGCCATTGATATTCACTTTGGTCTTCATGCACATGCTATATGTATTCACGTCACCTGTTTCTGTCATTCATTACACTATCCAATCAGACAAATTATTTTTGAAAAGTACTAACATTATATGATATTGAAGTCTTTGCAACCAAATGTTATAATTTTCCTAATCAACTTTTTATTGATAGCATTATTATGAAATATTTGTTGGTTTTCATTTGATATGCTTCCACATCATTTAGTTATTTTATTAGATTGATCAAATCATCCATTGGTTCATTCATGTATTAAAGATTATTGAACATATTGTAGGTACTGAGAATACAGTGGTGGGAAAAGAGAAATTGTTCTTACCCATAGAGTTTAGTTGTTTTGAGAGAAAGTGATTGCATTATTATTTCCATAATATTTCCCCTGCCCCCCCCCCCCCGCTTTTTTTTTTCCAAGCTGGAGTGCTATGGCTCGATCTGGGCTCACTGCAACCTCTGCCTCCTGGGTTCAAGCGAATCTCCTGCCTCAGCTTCCTGAGTAGCTGAGATTACAGGCACCTGCCACCACGCTTGGCTAATTTTTCTATTTTTAGTAGAGACGGGTTTCACCATGCTGGCCAGGCTCGTCTCAAACTCTCAACCTCAGGAGATCTGCCCACCTCGGGCTTCCAAAGTGCTGGGATTACAGGTGTGAGTCACCAAGCCCAGCCAATATTCCCTTTTTTGACACCATATCTTATCCATCAATAAATTGTCTTGGCACACTCTTCGAATTCTTTTCTAGAGCTTCAAAACATCTTTCCACCTCCACTGTACTTTTCTGGCACAAACTGACATCATCTCTGGTCTGTGTTACTGGTTACTGCTGTCACTTCCTATCTGGTTCCTCCTGCTCCTGCTGTCCTAGGTACTCCGTTGGTCTCCTTGCTCTGAAGCAAATTATGTGTATTTATGAGAAATAATGGGATGTTTTAATATGTATACATTGTGGAAAGTGTCAGTGAAGCTAATGAACTTATCTGTCACCTCACTAACATCATTTTTTATGGTGAGGATATTAAAATCTATTATTATTATTATCATTTTGATACAGGGTCTTACTCTGTGACCCAGGAGTAGAGTGCAGTGGTGTGATCCAACCTCTCCTCCTGGGCTCAAGTGATTCTAGTACCTCAGCCTCCCGAGTAGCTGAGACTACAGGCGTGTGCGACCACACCCAGCCTGTTTCTGTATTTTTAGTAGAGACAGGTTTTGCCATGTTGCCCAGGCGTCTCTCAAACTTCCGAGCTCAAGCAATCCACCTGCCTCAGACTCCCAAAGTGCTGGGATTTCAGGTGTGAGCCACCGTGCCCAGCCAAAAATCTATTATTTTAGCAATTTTTAATTAATATATTGTTAACTGTAGTCACCATGCAGTGCATTAGACCACTAAAACTTTATCCTCCAGTCTAACTGAATATTTGCATAATTTAATCAACAGCTCTCCTTTCCCCATTCTTCTCACTCCCCACATCTAGCCTCTGGTAACCACCTTTCTACTTCCTGTTTCTGTGACATTGACTTTTTTAGATATCACATATAAATGAGATCATACAATAATTGTCTTTCTACGCCTGGCTTATTTCACTTAGCATAATGTCTTCCAGTTCCATTTGTTTCATGCTGTTGCAAATGGCAGAATTTCTTTCTTTTTTAATTCTTAATATTATTATATTATATGCACGTGCCATATTACCTTATTCATTCATTCATGGGCACTTAAATTGGTTTCTTATATTGACTACTGTGAATACTGCTGAAATTAACATGGGAGTGCAGATATCTTTTCAACATACCTATTTCAATTCCTTTGTATGCATACTCAGAATTGGAGTTGCTGGATCATATGGGAATTTTAATTTTAGATTTTGGAAAAACATTCACACTATGTTCCAAAATGACTTTGTAATTTACATTCCTATCAACATTTTACAAGGATTCCCTTTCCTCCATATTCTCACCAACACTTGTTATCATTTACCCTTTTGATAATCTCCATTCTCACAGGTGTAAGGTGATATTGTGATTTTAATTTGAATTTCCTGGTGATTAGAGACTTTTAGCATATATATATTATAAAAAATATATATAATATATATATATAATATATATAAAATATATATTATATATATTATAAAATTTATATATAATATATTATATATTATATATATAATTCATATCCCTTTTGAAAAGAAATGGTTATTCAGATTCTTTGCCCTTTTTAAATCAAGCAATTTGATTACTTACTATTGAGTGGTTCAAGTTGCTTATATATTTTTGATATTAACCCCTTGCCAGATGTATGGTTTACAAATATTTTCTCTAATATGTGGGCTATCATGTCAATCTATTAACTGTTTTCTATTCTGTGCAGAAGCATTTTAGTTTGGTGCAAAGCCAATTGTCTATTTTTGCTTTTGTTAACCTGTGCTTTGGGTGTCCTATCTAAGAAATCATTGTCCAGACCAAGGTTGTGGAGATTTCCCCCAATGTCTTCTTCTATAAGCTTTACTGTTTCATGTCATACATTTAAGTTCTTTATCATTTTGAGTTGATTTTTGTCTATGGTATAAGTGCCCAATTTCATTTATTTCTTTTTTTTTTGCTTATGGATATCCAATTTTCCCATCATTATTTATTAAAGATATTGTCATTTTTCCATTATGTGTTCTTAGCACATTTGTCAAAAAACAATTAACCATAAATACTTGGATTTATATCTGGGTTTTCTATCCTGTTCCATTCGCCAATATGTCTGTTTTTATGTCAGTATCTGTTTGATTTTTATAGCTTTACAATAGATTTTCATATCACATAGTGTGATGGCTCAAGCTTTATTCTTTTTGCTGAAGATTGCTTTGCTATTTGGGGTCTTTAATGGTTGCATACATATATGAGGATTTTTTTCCATTTCTGTTAAAAAAATTAGAATTTTGAAGAGATTATAATAATTTTAGATGGTTTTAGGTAACATGACCATTTTAACAATATTAATTTTTTCCATCAGTAAAAATGAGCTATCTTTCCATTTATTTGTGTCTTCTATTTCATTCATCAATATTTTATGGTTTTCAGTGTATAGGTCTTTCACCTCTTTGGATACATTAGTTCTAATTATTATTATTCTTGTTATTATTGCTGTTGAAAATAAAATTCTTTTCTTCATTTTTTTCAGATAGTTGATTTTTAGTGAATAGAAATGCTATCGATTTTTGCACATGGATTTTGTATCCTATGACCTTACTAAATTTATTTATTATTTCTAACAGTTTTTTTGGTGGAGATTTTAGGGGTTTTTATATATAAGATTATGTCATCAGCAAACAGAAACCATATCAGTTTATCACTGGGATAAATCCTACTTAATCAAGATGAATGATCTTTTTAACATGTTGTTGATCTTTGTTGGTATTTTATTGAGGATTTTTGCGTCTGTGTAGATCCGTCAGGGATATTGGCCTGTAGTTGTTGTTGTTGCCGTTTTTCCATGTAGTATCCTTGTCATGTTTTGACATCAGGATAATGCTGACATTATAAAATGATTTTGGAAGTAATAACTTCTCTTTAATTTTTTGGAAGAAGTTTATGAAGCTATCAGTTCCTAGACATTTTTAATAGCAGACATTTTGTCATTTATAAGAATTGTTGGCTTAAATTGCAATTTGAAATTTTGTATTACTTATTATTCATGCCAGTATGGTAAATAAAGCACATTGATCCATTTGCTAGACAATTTTAAAATTTTATATTTAAAATTTTATATTATTTATTATGCATGCCCATATGGTAAACAAAGTACACTGATCCACTTGCTAGGCAATTTTAAAGAACAATTTTGTGGACATTTAACAGTTGCTAGCACAATTCTCAAATAAGGAAATTTTTCTCGCTTTCTTTTAAATGTTTTAAAATTTTTTAACAGTACAAAAATTTGAATGCCTGGGGATATGATTCTGGATATACTCATTCCAACTTGCCTGTACAAGTGACCATACAGCCATTAAGCTATAAAACTCATTTCCTGGCCCAAAAATATAAAAGGTAAATGTCCTTAATACTTCCGATAAAAGACCTCAGGACTTCACTGAATTTATTCTCTTGTAATCTGAGAAATTCTTATTATTCAGTTCTAAACGTGAGAACTGTCTTAGCACTTAGGTTAACTAGTCATCTAAGAAAAAAAAGTAAAAACTATTTTAAACATTTCAAAACAGATATTTTCAAGACTTAATATATAAGCATGATTATATCTGCGCTGAAATTTTTGACTCTTAGAAACACATTTGGAGGTTTGTATATTATTTAGGTTGCATACTCTGGGTTTTTATGACAACTGATAATTTCCTTTTAAATTTCTAAAAAAATAATCATCCAAACTTCTATAGTATTTGTAAAGCCCTTTAGAATTGTTTCTGTTGTTGTTCATTTCTTTCTGCTCACAGAAACTAGCCTTCAGTACCTGACTGTAGATAGCTGTTCCGTGATAAATTTGTACACAGAACTATTACAATGACAGTGAAAATCATGTATTTCTTACAGTGGGAGGTAATCAAGGTAGCCATCCAAAATCATTTATGTATTTATTTATTTATTTATTTATTTATTTATTTATTTATTTATTTTATGTGATGAAACATTTTTATTAAATTATAAGGTCTACAAATATCTACAAATAGTTATTGTCAGCTTAATACTACTCTGGTTTTAATAAGAGGAAAAAAACAGGTAAGAAGGATGTTAATAACATGTGTTCCAGGCTGGAAGGAGGAATAAGTGATATTTGTCTATTTCAAATTTCCAAATATCATAACATAAAATTGGAAAGATTTTCCTTAGTAAATTTCTGTGTAACTTTTATTAAACATTTTCACAGAGAAAAATGTCCGCAATATTAGATGCTAAAAGTATTTTTAAAACACTTTTGAATACTCTCAGCTGATCAAAACACCTAGAACTTTACATGTAAGCAATTTGTTATTTTCACATTATCTGTGGTTTATTTTCCTACAAATCAGTATGTGTTTCCTGTTGCATAAGTGAAAATTGTCCTATTTATCATTTCCTTATTGCATCCTATATTTGCATAAAATATTGAAATTACTCCCACTTTATTTAACTTAGTATACCAGAACCCTTTTCAATCCATTGAATTAAACTCAATGTTATTTGAAAAACCTCGAAAACAAATGATGTTAACGCAGCTGTCACTGTGAGCTAGTTCAGAGCATTTATGTATTTTTTCTGTGGCACTTCCACTCAGTGCGCATGTCACCTAGTTTTTAAATTAAAAATGCAGTAATACTTTCCTTAAGATATTAATAATTTGTCATGTTTTCAAATATAAACGAGATGATATAAGAACAATGTACTGTAAATTATATTGAGAAATCAATGTAAATTATAAATCAAGTGCTATTATTAAACTTATTATACTTGTAATATTGTCTTCTTTGTAAAAATGGTCATAGTCGTGGTTATGGCATCAAAATTCTATGCCTTTTCTTATTTTAGATTTTTTTTCCTAAATATTGCTGCCCATCTACAGTGAGAAATTATCTAGGCTTATCATTTTGTGTTTCATAAAATGATAATATATAATGATTCTATATGAATGATGACAGTATACAGTTGACCCTTAAAAAATATGAGTTTAAACTGCATGTGAACACTAAACGTGAATGTTTTTCAATAAATATATTGGAAAGTTTGGGGGAGATTTGTGACAATTTGAAAAACATGCAGACAATCAGTATAGCCTAGAAATATCAACAATTATTTTTAAAAGTTAGGTATGTCATGAAGAGATAGAATGTCAGTAGATACCAGTTTATTTTATTATTTGCTACCATCAGATATAACAAATCTGTTATACAAAGTAAATATTTATCAAAACATAGAACACAGACCATACATGGCTCCATTAGCTGTCAAGAGAAAGGGGAACAAACTTAAAGATGCAATATTAATTCATAACTGCATAAAGTTAACTGTAGTACATACTCTACTACTTTTATAATTGTGTAACCACCTTCTGTTGCTGTTGCAGTGGGCTCATGTGTTGCGAGTATCCACTTATAACACCATGTGATGCTAATCATCTTTGTGTGAGTAGTTCCTTTCTCCAGCAAATTGTGATTCACTGTAAAAAGCGATCTCCCACATTTCTTGAGTATTTTTTATCATGTTTAGTGCTATACCATAAACCTTGAATAACACCGTTGAAGCCAAACAAAATGCCACTAGTGATGCTAGAATTGCTCCCAAGCATCAAAGTTACCACATTACAAGAAAAGTTGAATTGCTTGATATGTACCATAGATTGAGGTTTGCCTGCCATTTCAGACAGGTGATAAAACTTGTAAAGAGATGCTGTAAACTAATGGGACTGATTTTCTCTTCCTTATGATTCTCTTAATAACATTTTATTTTCTCTAACTTTATTGTAAGAACACAGTAATATAATAAATATACAAAATATGTGTTAACCATCTGTTTGTGTTATCAGGAAACCTTCCAGCCAACAGTAGGCTATTAGTAGCTAAGTTTTTGGGGAGTCAAAATTATACATAGAATTTCGACTGTATGGGGGTCACCACTCTTAACTCACAAGCTGTTCAGGTATCAACTGTATATCTTCTAGAAGACTGATATGTGAAGGCTATAATGAATTTAATGCTTAAAATCTTTTCTATCTATTGACATAGTTTCCTATAGAGTTTTACTAGCAAAACTCTTTAGGAAATCCACGAATGCGATGGAATTTCACCATAGTAATTTGCTCTATTTAATTGGTAACGACGGGAAGGGGTGTGCTTGTTACAAGGGGAAGGATTTTACTTGCCTTCTAGTCATACTATTGGTGAGGAAGAGATTCCCATCCCAAGATTGGAGGGATAGGCAAAGACACTACATCTGACACTGGAACAATAAACTCAGCAGCAGTTTGTTAGTTACATACACTTATAGCCTGGAGGAGGAGCAGATCACATGTCATGCAGGACCACATGGGGCCACAGGGGAGTTGTGCTCCAGAACTGAGTGAACAACCAGGGTCTCCACAGGAGATTGTTATTTGGTTATTTGAATAGTTTCACAGACTGACAAATAACTGAAACCTGCTACTCAAGGATAAGTGGGAAGCACATCTAGTCAATTTATTAAGCAGGGTTGTTGGCTAGAAGACCTTATCCATCAGGGAAGAATGGGGATTGGAAGTTGTGGTTAGACAATTTGAGGCCCTCCTGGCTTCCCCCATTTGTCTAAGCAGCACTTAATATTGGTCCTTAATATTAGACCTTTTACCGTGGGCAATAAGTGTTGTAATGGAACTGGTTAGGAGAAAAAAAATGCTGCTCTACATTTAAGAAAGCCTGTGCATTAATCAAAATTTCTAAATATATTATCTGCACGTCCTCAAAAAGTAATCCAACTCTTGGAATTTGTTTTCCTCAAGGATGTAACAGAAAAACTAATACTTGAACTATGTCTCTTACAGTCTTTTTTTTAATTTAAACTTCTCATTTTGAGAGATGATTGTAAAGTCACATGTACCTGTAAAGAGTAATACAAACATCTCTTGTACACCTAATCTAGGTTCCTCCAGTGATAACATCTTGAAATACAATGTAAATCTAGTACAATATCACAACCAGGGTATTGACATTGATACAGTCCAGATACAGAACATTTCCATCTTCATAGGGATCCATTCTGTTTCCCTCTTACAGCGACACTTTCATCCCTTCATATTTCCATTCCTGAGCCCTGACAACTCTCCATCTGCCCTTCATCTCTAGAATTTTGTCATTGCAAAACATTTTATAAAATTAAACCATACAGCGACATTTTGGATTAACTTTTTTCACTCAGTGCAATTCCTTGGTGATTTATTCAAGCTGTTCTTTATAGCAATATTCCATTCATTTACATCTCAGAGTATTGTTATATAGCATGGAGGATCTACAGTTTGTTTAATTATCTGTATATTTGGTGATCATCTACATTGTTTCCAGTTCTGGATTGTTTTCTGTCTATTGTGATTAAAGCTGTTATGAATATTTATGTATAGATCTTGTATAAAGATACATCTGATTTCTCTGAGATATAAGCTCAAGAGTGTAATTTCTGGGTCATGTGATATTTTATTTAAAAATTTTCAAACTGTTTTCCAGAGTGAATGTACCACTTCACACTCCCATCAGCAGTGTATGAGTGATCCAGTGCCTTCAGGTCATCACCAGGATTTGGTGATGTCACTATCTTTTTTTTTTGTAAATTTTAGCCTTTCTGATGTACAATGCTCACTGTGGTTTTAATTGGCTTTTACTCGATGGCTAATGGTGTTAATTATTTGTGGAATTTTACTGACGTTTTTATGGCTTATTGCTATCTGTATAAACTATTTGGTGAAATTTCTGACGTATTTTGCCAATTTTCAATTTGGATTTGTGTGTTTTGTTTTTTATTTATTTTTTACTGTTGGTGTTTGAATGTTCATTATGTATTCTAGATGTTAGTCTTTGACAGACATGCGGTTTGCAAATATTTACTCCCAGTCCATGGGCTGCTTTTTCATTTTCTTAACAGGGTCTTTTGAAGCACAAATCATCTTAAATTTAATTAGGTCTGATTTATCCATTTTTTTATTTTAGATGATAATTTTGGTATCAAATCTAAGACCTCATTGCTTAGGCCTGGATTCCAAATACATTGCCTTATGTGTTTTCTAAAAGTTTTATAATTTTATATTTCAATACCTGAATATATTTTAATATAAGGCATGTGGATTAATTGGAGGTTCATAGTTTCTCTTATGACTATCCTATTACTCCGGAACAATGCGATAAAAACACTATTTTTTCTTATTTAAATATGAGTCTGTCAAAAAGTCAGTTGACTATATTTTTATATTTGTGTTAATCTGTTTATAAGTTCTCTATTTTGTCTTTTATTTAACACATTGATTGATGTGTCTATTTATCTGCCAATATCACATTCCTGATTATTTTTATAGCTGTATAACAGACTTATGCAATAATGGGTTGAGTGATTTCTCCCATCTTATTTTTCATCAAGATTGTTTTAGCTCTTCTCTGACTTTAATATTTCCATATGAATATTAGAATAAGCTTATCTATGTCTATAAAAAATCTAGTAAAATATGACTTAAATTACATGAAATCCATAGATTGATTTGGGGGAGAATAGACATCTTCACTGTGTTAAGTCTTCCAATCCATGAACACACTGTATCTCCCCATTTACTCAGGTTTTCTTTGATTTTTTGCATCAGCTTTTTGTAATTTTAGCATATATATTTCATACAACTTTTTAATGTTTTTGCCTAAATGTTTTATTTTCTTTGGAGTGAGTATAAATGATGTTGTATTTTTAATTTCGTCTCCACATGTTCCTTTTTAATCTACAGAAATATGACTGAGTTTTGCGTATCGATTGATCTTGTATCCTCCAATATTGGTGAACTCAATTATTAGTTCTAGAAGGCTTTTGTTTCTGATATACAAATATATATCACGGGGATCCATATATATATATATATATATATATATATATATATATATGGAATAAATATATATTATATAAAATTTTGTCATTGCAAAACATTTTGTAAAATTAAACCATACAGAGACATTTTGGATTAACTTTTTCA